>NC_000005.10:152456832-152757150 GCF_000001405.40 Homo sapiens
TAATTTTAGATTTGCTGAAAAGTTATAAAACTGGTACAGGGATTCCCCATATCCCCTCACTTAAGTTTGTATCACCTGTTTCAGTTTCCACTAATGTCATCACTTTCTATTATTGCATACGTTTGTCAAAACTAAGAAACCAATACTGACACATTACCATTAACTCTAGCCTTTATTTAGATATCACTAATTTTTCCATGGATGTCCTTTTGCTGTTCTGGGAACCAATCCAGAATACCACATTTAGTCATCATGTCTTCTTAGTCTCCTCTGTGATCTGTGACAAGTTTCTTAGTCTTCCCTTATCTTTCACGACCTTGACAGTTTTGAGAAGTAATGGTCAGGTATTTTATAGAATGTTCCTCAGATTGGGTTTGTCTCAGCTTTCTCTCATGACTAGACTGAGGTTATAGGTTTTTGAAAAGAATACCATAGGGGTCAAGTGCCCTTTCGATTACATCATATCCAGTGTACATAATATCACTGTTAATAACCTTGAGTAATTTGTTTAGATAATGTTGGCCAGGTTTCTCTACTATAAAGGTGCTATTTTTCCCTTCTCATACTCTATACTTTGGAAGCAATTCACTAAGTCCAACCACACTTAAAAGGTTGGGGAGAAATTAAGCTTTGCCTTCTGGAGAGGGTAGTTTCTATGTATAGTTGGAATTCTTTTGTAAGGAAGATTTGTCTCTTCTATTTATTTATTCAACCACTTATTTATATCATTTTGATCTCATTTATATGAAGTGTATATTTTGTGTTATGATCTAGTACACTGTTATTTATTTTGTTGCATAACTTTTTTCCAACTTTGGTCATTGGGAGCTTCATTAGTTTAGCTCTTGTGTCCCATTGTCGTGCCTCCATTGATTTATTTTTTCAAAATTTCCCAACATCCTGGTAATGCCAAATGCTCCAGAATTAACTTATAGATTTTGCCTGCTATAAGCCCTAAAATTAGCCACTTCTCCAAGAAGCTTGGATTTCCCTCTTGGATGGCAGTATTTCTTTTTAATTTTTTAATTTTTAATTTTCATGGGTACATAGTCAGTATATATATTTATAGGATACATCAGACGTTTTGATATAGGCATGCAAGGTGAAATAGGCATATCATGGAGAATGATATCCATTCTCCATTGGATATCCATTCCCTCAAGCATTTATCCTTTGTGTTACAAATGATCCAATTACACTCTTTTAGTTATTTTTAGATGTACGATTAAGTTATTATTGACTATAGTCACCCTGTTGTGCTATCAAATATGGAGGTTGGTATTTTGAAACCAAGGCTTGGGCACTGGGAGTGATCGTTGCTAATGGGGTGTCATTATCTTAAAGCCCTCTCAGCAGACAGAGAGAGGTAAGATGTATGTATACTAACCTATGATTTCATATTTAACTATAATTGTTTCTATATCTATCCATCTCTATATGCATGTTAAGCTAAATATGGGTTCATATTGATGTCTCTAATCAAGTACCACCGTGTTATTGTAGCCTTCTATTCTTACTTATCTACAACTTTCCTCTCTGGTGATGAGAAACCTGGCACCTACCACCACCTTCTATTTACTTATTTGTTCAACTCCAGTATATATGTAAAACAGTTTCAGAATTGTTCATCTTCACCTTCATGTTAAACAACTTTACCAACTAGGGTATAGTGTTTATCTACAGTTCCTATTTTTTAATCTTACAGTTTCCAGTCTAAACACCATTTTCCAAAGTTTCTTAGGCCAGCTACCTTTCCCCTATCCCCTGTAGTACAGTTACATCATACATTTGTAATACAGTGACATTCTTTGTTCTCAGCTTGCACTTTATCTTGGGATCTCCCAACATTCTGGTTGATTATTTTTATTTTATAGTTTATATGCATTAATGTTCTTTCTTTGTAATGTAAAGTTCTATGGATTTTGACAAATGCATGGAATCATATTGTCCACCACTCCAGTACCATGTAGATCATTTCTATCATCCTCAAAGTTCCCCTGAAAGATATAGTTATTTAACATTTCATACAACTTAATATAAAATAAATTTATCAGATCTTCCCAAGGCAGGTGCTATGCATTGGCTCACTCTCTACCTTTCCAGTCCCTCCCTAGTCCATCACCTCTTTGTACTAAACCACTCCTTTATCCACCATTCCCTAGAAACCACTGATCTGTTTTTCATTCCTGTAGTCTTGCGTTTTCCAGACTGTCATATGGATGAAAACATAAAATATGCTTTGGGGTTTGACTTCTTTTACTTAGCAAAATGCCTTTAAGATTTATCCCCGTTGTTGAAAGATTCAATGAGCAATTTACTAGTAGATGGAAGACTTAGGATTTTTTTTTTCTTTGTTTCTGGTACCATGTAAGAATACCCCCATTCTCACCCAGCACTTTAATAAATACATGATTTTAGGGAGGAACTCTAAAATGTGACTAATTTTTAATTTTTTGCCACCCTGGCAAGTGAGGGTTTTAAATTATATTTAAAATTATCTTGATTATATAATAAGGCAGTAAATTAATATTTTATGCAAATTAATATAAAATTTATCAGATCTTCCTGAGGCAGACACTGTATGCTGCCTCACTCTAAACTTATCTGATCCCTTCCTATCTCAATCTCTCTTTTTTGTCATCTTTTTAACAAAGAGACTGGATGTCTTTATGTATATAAAATCCATTCCTCTTTTGCAGCTAAGTATGGCCAGTAATGTAGTTCTTCCCCTTTACTTGTTTACACATCTTCCTTTACGTTTCTTCCTACCTGAAATATAAACTGGCTGATGGAGATCCTGGCTCAATGCTCAACAATTATTTTGAGACAATGAAGACAAAAGGAGGAATAGAAAGATAGAAGGAGCCTAGTTCTTTCATGTCATTGTTCTGTTGTTGTGAAAGCCCTGAGTAACGTATCCCAGCTTTGTTTGCATGAGATAAATAATCTTCTATGATTTAAGGTACTATTGTCACGTTTTTTATCACTCAAAATCCAACACAATCATAGCTGATGCATACTACAATAGCATTATATGCAAGGTACTCTGGCATGTTACAGAAGTGAATGATGATGACTGGAAATTTAGTGAAATAATTATTTCTATTTAATTAACAATTTTGAGCCATTATTAATTGAAAAATACTGCCCCAAACTTTCTGCAGATATAAAAATAACTTAAAAGTACTTTTTGCCATGAAGAAGCTTATGATATGATATAGACAATGCAGTATATACTCAAGAGAGTCCTGGACTTAGAGTTAAGATCTGGTTTCAACATATGCCTTATAATTAGACATGCAACATACCTTTATTTGTGCATTTACTGCTGCTGTTTATTAATAAGTTATTTATTAAATTGTTTATTATGATACATTATTTATTAAATATCAGGCACCCTGTGCTAAGACCTTTTCCTAATTACATTCATAACTATAAAGTAAGACCTAAGGTCATCCCCCATATTGTGGCAAATTGAGGCACAGAGCAATAAATGAATATTCACAATCACATGACTAGTAAATGGCAGAGCTGGAATTCAAACCTGGGGCTGTTCACCTCCAACCTTTTTGACTTTCAACGTCCTCCTCTGTAAAGTGGCTTTTGATGTATCAGTCCTTCCTGCCTCAGAGAGTTTTGTTCAGGACTGAAAAGAAAATGAAATTGGGGATTTAAATAATCTTTTCAGCCATAAAATGCTGTTGAATTCTAGTGTTACTCCCATACCTGGCACATGGAATATACTATCAAGTCAATTTAAATGAACAGGGGGAATAAACAGACATATGTGTGACCAGTTAACTCTAAATCAAGATAGACTGTGAAAAGTGGAACAAAATGCAGAGAGAAACAGAAGGAAAAAAAAGATGAATTTTAAGGTTGGGGATCTGGGAAAACTTTATAGAGTTGATGGCAACTCAATTGCATCTTCAAAGATGGCTGGAACTTTGAGCATCTGTGAGAATCACTAAGTGAGCACCAGGTATCTGTCACAAGTCCTCACCTCCAGCTACATCAGAGTTACAATGACAGGAGCCACAACTCATTCCTCTTTCCATCGTTCACTGTTCACAGCACAGGCCTTGGGCATAGTGTGTTCTGATGCTGCTTTAGTTGGATTACTTTCATTAGGGAAGCTTTTGTCTGGCAAAAGTTTTTAGTTTCTTAAGGACAAATTGGTAATAGTTAACTTTCTTAACTTAGAAACTTCTTAAGCATATCTCCTAGAATCTCAGGAGCAAAGTCTCCCAGTCAGTGCAAACCCTACAGGGACTTGAAAAAACATTTTGTCAAGTGCTGTTTTTCCCAGAACAAAATGTGGAGGAATGTCATCTTCAAAACGGAAAATAAATGTCAAGTTTAGGCTCATTTATGATAGCTGTTTTGTGTTAGAACTTTTGTCTAAACGGCATCCAAATACATGGAGAGAATGGAAAAATCCATAGAACTGGATGGTTCAATTCACTCCTTCATCCATTTTGCAAAAAGTTATGAAGTGCCTACTATGTGGCAGATACTAATATAGGGAGTGGGGATATAGCAGTAAAAGAACAAAGTCTTGGTGGCAGGGCACATGATTATCAAATATCTACATATTTTTCTTTTCTCCATCCTCCCTCATCCCCACCCTACAAAGGCTCTTTGCAGATCACATCCAGTCTTCCAGTACAATTAGCTTTTTGGGGGGAGTAAGGGTCATCATTCTCTATATCTGAATATCCTGTCATGCTTAGTATTGCTGTGTGTGTGTGTGTGTGCGTGTGCGTGTGTGTGTGTGTATGTATATAGGACAGGAGCAGCGAGAAAGAAGCATGAGGAAGTGAATAGAAAATGGGCTTTGGAGTCAGAGCAAAGGTAGTATTAGATCCAAACTTTAACAACACTGACCTGACAAATACTTATGAGTAGCTACTATGTGCTAGGTACAGAAGTTATAAATGTGAACAAGACAGACTTGGCTCCTTCTTTCACACAGTTCATACTCTACTGAGCAGAAACAGAAAATTAAATGAGTAGCTTAGCTCTGTTCCTCTGAGAAACAGGCATCAAGAGATTTTTCAGAGAACATGCTTGCAAAGGGAAATGGAGAGGGAGCCGGAGGGGGCTGGGAGAGCCATTAGACCACAATGCATGTCTGGCCCCTGTGGAGGAGGGAAAGAAGTAAGGAACATATGTAGGAAAAATCTCCTGTGCAAGTCTCATAAAGTTTTGACAAAGATAAAGAGAGTCTTCCAGCCTAGCCAGCAATCTGAAGAATCTCACATCTACCAGGAATGGACTGGCCTTAGCATTCCCCTGGGCTCAGTCATAGGCTGGGAGCAGCTGGTGAAGATATGGCTTCAGTGCTCAGGCCATTGAATTGTGCCCCCTCCTTCAGAGACCGGAGAGGTGAATTTTCCTGGCCACCATAACAAAATGCATTGAGTGTCATGATAGGGAAGTACAACGTGCTATGAGAACACAAAGCAGAAGCACCACAGGCTTCCCCAAAGAAGTCGCATCTCTCTCTAGTGGGGGCAAAGAAGGGAAAGCATTTCAGGGAGAGAGAATGATATGAGAGACAGCATGTATGGAATCGCTAAAAGAAATAAAAGAAATGCAGTCTGATTTGAACAAAGCATGCAAGGGCAGTGGGAGTGGGCAAAAGAGAGAGAGGAGTTGTGAGAAGTGAAACTGGAAAGGTAATCAGGTGTAAAACCTTAGCCTTGTGAGATGCATAAGCAGTTTAGATTTCATATCAAGGGCAATGAGAGACATTTTGAGGGTGAAATGGGGGTTGTGGGAAGACAGTGGGAGTTGAGTATCATGATTCTGTTTGCACTTTCAAAACCCCACTCTGTGGCCCTGTGGAGAGTAAATTGGTTGACAGTAACACTGGAAAACTAGAGAGTTAAGAGACTCAAAATACCTCCCATTTATGATAATTTGAGCCTTCAGTAGAGATAGAAATGGCAGATTGCTAACTTAATGAAGGTAGTAAAGTAGAGAAAGAAACCAAAGAGGACACTCAGATTTCCATCTTCTTACCATGCAACTTCAAAGAATTGTTTAAGCTCTTTGAACTTTGGTTCCTGGTTTGAAAAATGAAAGCAATAACATCTACTTCACAGGATTGTTTCGAGGCCAAATTAAATAATGTACATAAAGTACCTAACAAAGGGCTTAGCTTATAAATGGTATAATAATTCCCCTCTGACTTCCTCTGTATGTAGCGAGGATTTAAGGTATGTCCCTATTAGAGACTCAAGGTAACTGTAGAGCAAGTTAGGCTTTCTCTCTCTGATTCATCTCTGTCTGTTCCCCAAATCTCTTTAAGATTTTTACATTGCATGTGAATAAATGAAACTTTAACTCAACAATCTTAATGCAATAAATAATTTTATTAATTCTTCTGACAGAAAATCTATACCCATTGAAAGAAAGATTCAGAATAAGTAATAACCAATACCAAGCTAGGCAAATACTTTTCTCGGATGAGGGGTGGTGGTGTTTGTCTCTTTTTGCTTCTCTGTCTCTTTTTAAGTCTTAAGCTGATTGACTCAATAAAAGAAGAAATATCGGGAATTTATTTATACTAGGAGACTTCCTGACTGCCCCTTGCTCCATGGATCTCCTGAACTACCCTCCCCTGTCTGCTTCTTGAATGTTTGTGAAGTCCTCCTTTATCCAAGGACAGCCGGTATCAGCCTCAGGATTTTTCTTCAGGCATCTCAAGAGAAAGAGCCTTCCCTTGGGGCAGGAAGCCCAGCACACTTCTCACTGCTGGTACAATGTCTTTTCTCACAGCTGTGGACCCCGTTTAGGGTGGTGTCCCCAGGAAAATCTAAGCTTGATCTCAGAATATCTGAAACCTTTTGTACTGGACCTGAGGTTACTAAAACAAGATGAGGGTTATTACACTTTATTGTGCACCAGAAACACCTGAGAGGCTTGTTAAACTACAGATACCTGAGCCCCAACCCAGGTATTCTGAATTAGTATCTTCTAGGGTGGGTCTGAACAATCTACATTTTTAAGGAAAATATTCTAGATTTTTGCTTCTATCGTGTAGTGCTCAGACCAGCAACATCGGACATCGCCTGGGAACTGTTAAAAATGCAGCATCTCAGGCCCCACCCCAGGCCCACTGAATTAATCTGAATTTTTAACAAGTTCCCCAAGTAATTAGTTTCACATTAAAGGTTTTAGAAACACTGTTCTAGATCAGTGGTCCAGTGGGAAAGATTTTTCCCCCAACCCCCACCATTCAGGACAGTATCTGGAGATATTTTTTGTTGTAACTGGAAAGGCGGTCCTGGCACCTAAGTAGTTGGAAGCCAGGGATGCTGCTAAACATCCTGCAATCCACAGGACAACCCCCACAACAAAGGGGTATCAGGCCAAAAATGTCAGCAGTGCTGATACTGAGAAACCCTGGGCTAGACGATTGTAATGAAGGCGGTAGATTTATCTGGGGAATCAGCCATCTTCAAAGGCTTAGAGGTAACAGCTACTCATCTAAGAGTTAATCTGAAAGCTCACAAGCAGGCTTTACATTCTCAAACTAGCGGTAAGATGGTGGACTCTGAGGCCCAGGTGCCTAACTTTGAATCCCAGATCTGCCACTTGAATGCTATGTAATCTTAGGCACCTGTGGAAATCAACAAAGATCAACCCAACGAGAACAAGCAAAGGCTTTTTATTCAAAGCTTGCTATAGCAAGGGAGTCAACCACCATTTGTGTTTGGCAGACTCAAAGGCAGAGGAGTGATAAAGCTTTATAGTAGAAAAAAGAAAAGGCTTGTTTGGAGACTACTGGAGAAGCTGGAGGGTGGCTACCTAGAAATCAGGCAGCCTCTGAGATTGGTGAGGAAGCTTATTTCACTTTCTCTGGCTGGTCCTAAGTTGGAAATAGGGACCAAAATTCATGGACTCAATTCAACTCTAGGTCATTCGTCAAGTCCTGGCTATTTGGGGGCTGATTGTTACAGAAGATATTGTTTAGCTTTCCTAGATTTTTACTAAAGATAGCAGTCAGACTTCCTACAAGCCTGACTTACAGCAGGCTGGTTCTCTGGGCTGGTCAATGTAGATAAGCAAAGTTGGTTTTCTGGGCAGGTTGCTGCAGCTTGTGGGCCAAAGTTCCATATTATATATAGTACTGCCTTTGTCTGTTTTTACATTTCTTTAGGCCTTCATGTTTCTCCATCTATGAAGTGGTTATTATAATAGGGTTATAGTAAAGATGAAATGAGTTAACTCATGTAGAGCTCTTAGAATCTCATCCAACAAGAAATGAGGCCTGAGTAAATGTTCCCCACCATCATTTTCTATGGCTGTCTCTGGGATCACTCTTGGGCTGTGACCTTATGCAGCTTCACTGGAGGGGTCTGGGTATCACCCAGACCACAGATCTGTATGAGTTTAGGAACAGTGCTTGCAAGCCAGGTGGTTGTCAGGACACACTTCAATATTTTTAGCTGCAGGGAGGGAACATTACTAGGATATGGGAGTCATTATTCTGATCAGAAATCAGGGATTTGAGTCAGAGGCCATCTGGTTTTAATTACTTATAACTGTGTGACCTCAGGCAAGTAGCAGTCACTCTAGACCTCTTTTATAAAGCAGGGATGATATTAGCATCCACTGGTGAAGGTGAATTAAATGATGCATATTAAGCACCCTAAACAGCACATGGCAAAGAAAAAGTACTCTCTAAAAGTCAACTTTATTATTGTTAAAGCGTTGACACAGCCAGGAGACAAGGCTACTCTTGTCCTAGGAACAGAAGCCTCCCATGAATCAGAAGGGGTTGCCCTCCAGGGTTAGTTGTCATGCTAGGTCTTTTTCTTTAATATTTGGCAATTCAGCTCACATGCACTAGGAACACCCAGAGCATTTATCACGGAACAGAATCCGCGTAAGGGAAGCTTGGAAATTTGCATTTCAACTACTCTCAGGTAATTCTTATATACACCTGGTCTTTGAAAACCCACGCTGCCATATCCCATCATTCCATTAGGGTGCATGGTGTTTCCCTGAAGCAATCCCCAGCCCTCGCCACACCTGCTGTAAGTGACCTGGAAACTCACAGCCCACCTTCTCCCCTTACAGTCGAGATGGGGAAGATGCATTCTGAGGTCTCTACCAAGAACTCCTGGCCTGAGACTGGTGCGTCCTCTCCTAGTGTGTGGGTAAGAAATGGTCCATCTTGTTCTGGGCTCTCTGACGCTGAGGTCTGACCAAGACAGCCCAACCACCTTTGGCAGGCATGAGGAATTGTGTTGAAGGTCTCTAGGTGCAGACTCAATCTGCAGTGGGAAGTGTTAAGTGAACAGAATTATAGAAATTTTTCTAATTGCCTGTGTCTTTCAGACACACAAACAGGTCTAGAGTACAAGGTCATCTGCTATTAATAAGCACAGAGATTACTGCAACCAGTGGCCTCTCTTGGACTTTGCTGAGAGAGTGAAGTACTCAGGGATTGTCTGAGTCTGACCTCCCTAAAATGGAAACATGTCAACTCCACTCTAGGGGCACAGGCAGCACCGGTGAACCTGGACCCAAGGAAGCAAAGGTATCTACAGTATAGCATTATTGGACTTATTTCTATTGGTTTCTGGAAGCTGTTGGTCTTAGCAGTGTCAGCCAAGTCTTCCATTCCTGCTAAATAGCCAGGAATCTTGGAGGAGTTGAAATTATCTTGCCTTGTGCTGACACATGTTAAAGTTTTGACTAGTGACATCTGGTGTCAGTTTTGGGAAGCTGGGAAGACAGTGGCAAGCAAGGATGATCCAAGGGCTTAATGTTGTCTTTGATGGAGCCCTCCTTTCCTTGAGGTAGCTGCCTGAAAGTTTGTTAGCCGAGTTTTGAAGATCAAGCTGTAGCTGTAGGTCTTTCAGGCAGACCATGGTACGTTGCTCCCAGATTCCACTGGCAGGAAGATTGGGCATTTCACTGAAGCTTGAAATCAGACTAAACCTACAATTCATAGAGGACTGGGAAAGAGGAAGGTATTAGCTGGGGGTATCATGGATGCTGTAAGTTCAAATGGCTGCCTTTCAGTTATGAGTAGAAACTAAGTGATAAGAAAACAAGAAGTCGTCTTATGTTGGGTCCAACTGTGACTGTTCTGATATCTCCTGAATGGAGACGATTCTTACCTAATTCCCCTACAAATTGCAAGACCTAGAATTTAAAAGATGCTCATTTATTTTGACTGTGATAATGGAAAAAATTGCCAAGGAGCTTGATGCCAACAGAGATTTGAGTGAAAATGCACCCTGAGTTCAGGTTCAACTCATCCATCTTGGCTGTATGAAGGAAACTAAGTTCTTGCTGACTCTATAGAAAATTTTCACTTTTGAACCAAAAAATTGTTGAAGCAAATGGGCTATGGGTTGGCAGAAGGCCTGGCCATCTCTGTAGCATAATCTGAGGTGGTTGTGGACCAAAATTTTATGAAACATTTGAGACAGACCTGGGGGAGAGGAAGAGAAAGAGGGGCCTGGCATTCTAGCCAGTATTTTCTCAATGACAAGGAGGCCGAGGGGGATTAAAAAGAAATAGGCAAGACTTAGAGTGTCCGTGAAGGAAGGACATGACAAGAGAAGGAAATATCTTAAAGATGAATACTCAAGAGGTAACAACTCATACACTTGCAGAGAAGATTGGAAAACTATAAAGCAAGCTGTTGCAGGGGGAAAGATTGTGATGACTGTGACCTGAATGCATTATGAATCCTCAATTGAAAATATTCTTGCAAATCTGCATGAGACAATATAGAAGTTGGAGAGACAACACTGTATCTGTATTCCAAGAAGAACTGCGTTATGACTAGCAAATGGGCAGAAGTGACTTATGGAAATAAGTGATAGCCAGGGCTGACTCTTCTGTCTCTATTCTCGTGAAGTAAAGGGGGAAAGCAGAAGATACTTCTTTAACTCCTTCTTGCAGGAGAGATAAGAAAGGGCCTTCCTTTTTTGAGTTGGTGTGAGAGGTTGATTGTAAATGAATAAGTACAAAGATACATTTGCTTCCATAAACTTGAAACTTTATTACCTGCAAACCACCATCCGAAGAGATGTATGCATAGTCAGATGTTCCACAGAAACAGTTTTAAAAAGTGGGTGATGGCCCATGATAAGCCATGGTGCCTACAATCCCAGCACTTTGGGAGGCTGAGATGGTCGAATCACTTGAGTCCAGGAGTTCAAGACCAGCCTGGGCAATGTGGCAAAACCCGGTCTTTACCAACAAAATAAAATAAGCCAGGCAAGGTGGCATGTGTCTATAGTCCCAGCTACTCAGGGAGCTGAGGTGGGTGAATCACCTGAGCATGGGAGGTCAAGGCTGCAGAGTGTCATGATTGCACCACTGCACTCCAGCCTGGGTGATAGAGTGAGACCTCATCTCAAAAAATAAAAAGTGGGTGAGGGGGACAGGCAGACAGCAGGGGTAATGTTAGAAACAGGGTTAATAAATATGGTCCAGACTGTGTCACCAAAAAGATTTCTTCTGTGGGAATTATATCTTTATTAGCAAGAAAACTTTGCTCAGAAGTTTCCTGAGTTCCCTCACCCTGACTTGATGGAGCACATTAAAATACCTTTTCCCTCTACCTTTTGATGAGTGATCAAGGAATTCATTTGTTTGGAGAATTAAGTCACCTAGGCCATTGCTATCTTGAGTGGGAATTCATTATGTGGCATAGTCAAGCAGAAGGCAACTGGTGTTGGTGCTGTTGTCATACAGTTTGCCTTTTAAGCTACACACCTATATTATTAGATAAAAACATTATTTTTGCGTGTTGTGCTAATAAGAGCAAAAAGATAAAGTCCCTGAAGAACCTAGATGCAGGTTTTTGGGGAGGATAACTGTGGACATGTCTGCTCCCTGAACCCTGGAAAGATTTATTTTACTGAACAAATTCTCATTAAGTGATACAGTCAAAGGGAAATGAAGAGCTACTCCACTTTAATAACTACTAAATTAATCCAAGAAACATTTAACTTGTAAGTCAGGCACTCCCTAGCCCAATGGCTTTGTAGTTTTTTTATTTGTCTTTGGTTTGGGGTTTTTTGTTTGTTTGTTTGTTTGTTTGGCTTAGGAACAGAGGAAATAGCAAAAAAGACTGAAAGATTATTGACAAAGATCAAGATCCAAAATCAGAAGCTTTCATTTCCAACTAAACTCTGTACAAGTGTTCTGGATGGGGCAAATTAACAATTTAACTTAATGCTTGCCAATGAAGATGGTAGCTTGCTGTGACCTTTTTTCTATGATGTACCAGAAACAGCAATCAATTTGCCCCTTAGAAATTGTGCCCAGGAATAAAACTAATGCTAGGGAGAGTACACTGTATTGAAAGCACCCTGGAGTTAAAACTAGAGTGGTTCTATGTAGCCATAGGAATAAATATAAAGATTAAATAGACTAAATGAAGAGACTGATATCAACCTTTCTTTTTTATTCCTTAAAACTTGGCTAAAACATGCACATGAAAATTTGATCTAAATGCCTTAAAATAATATTTGTATATTTTAATCAAAACTTATGAAAAGGTCTAACTAGGTAACTTTTTAGCTGTTTCTCGTTTATCTGTGCATGAAGAGGTAGTGTGTACACGAAGAGGTAGTGTGTACAGAGGCTACACATTCCTCGACTTCTAATGAGAGCCATCCACATTTCGGCTACAGGGTCTATGAGGAACAAACCAGCTAGTTGAGGGCCTGGCTTACAATACAATGTTTATTCAGTAAAGACAAAGAGTGCAGTTCTTTATCTTTTAAAGAAGTGTGGAGAGAGGGTGGAAGGATTGGATATTTGCAGGGAGGGAAAAGGAAGGACAGCTCAGGGCATTGAAGGTAAATGCCACTTCTCTGTCAGGGTGGTCAGTGCCGGCCAAGGGTCTTTGTGTCGAAGGGCTATGCAAAGAGAAGATGTCAGAGATAAAAGGTTTTCACCTGTGGTTAGGCATTGCCAGATCTCTTGATTTAGGGCTGTGGCATTGCCTTGAGCAACTTACTAATGGAAAGGACTATTTGACTTAGAGGCTCGACTTTTTTGCGCTCAGGAATTTGAGTTACCAGTTATTTTTTACCCATTTAAGGACATGCATTTTCTTGCCAGTAAAGTTCAGATTTCCTACAAGATCGGAAATAAATAGTATATGAAAGTACAACCTGTAAATTCTCATTTGCTGAGCTCCTACATGAAAATTCATATATTTTTTCTATAGAAATACTCCTAATCTTGCTTTCTTGTGTATCTGTACCAGTAAAACGTGTCCCTTGCGTATAATTTATAGAAGTATTATATGAGAATATGCAAGAAAAAATGCTGGTATAGTTACAGTGTTAAGGGTTTATACTATTTCTAAAATAGACTGCATCAGTGATTAAAGAAATCGCTTTGTAAAATGGTTTTTCTTTCTCACTTCTACCCCCATTCTTATGGACTTCGTTGGGTGAGCATTTCTATGCCTGGGAGTCATTTTCTTGGCAAGTTGCTGTTAACGAGAATGTCCTATCTCTCAGCTGTGCTAGGACAGAAAATCATACTGACACTTACTGTGACAGGCAGACTAGTGCCTCCCCACAAAGATGCCCACATCCTGATTCTCAGAAGTTGTGAATATGTTGCCTTACATGACAAAAGAAATTTTGCAGCTACAATTAAATTAAGGACCTGAGATGGGAAGATGACCCTGGATTTTCTGAGTGAGCTCAATCTAATCACATGAGTTCTTCCAAGTGTTACAGAAAACCTTTCCTACCTGGGGTCAGAGGGAGATGTGACTATGGAAGAGAGAACCAGAGAGACTGCAGCATGGGAGGGACTTAGCTCCATGTCTCTGGCTTTGGTTAAAGATGGAGGAAGGGGCCAGAAGCCAAGCAATGCCAGAAGTTCCTAGAAGCTGCAAAAAGCAAGAAATAAGATTCTTTCCTAGAGCTTCCAGAAAGAGACACAGCTTAGTGAGACCCCTATCAGACTTCTGACCTTCAGAACTATAATACGTGTGTGTGTGTGTGTGTGTGTGTGTGTGAAAGCCACTAAGTCGATGGCAATTTGTTGCAGCAGCTGTAGAAAATTAATTCATCTACTGTCCTGGATTGAGGGTCTGGGACCTGAGTCCTGGAGTTCTTTTTCTAGTAGTAAGCTTTGCTCTGTGAATTTTTCTACCCTGTGAGCCAAATTCACAGGTCTGTATTTATAAAAAATGGGCTTCTTGAGTAATACAGATGAGAAAAATTTTAAGGACAATATATGTGGTTGTGGTAGTGTTGACAGTCAAAACAAGCACTCTGAGAACTACATTATCAGAAAATAGTGCATCTCTGTTTCAACTGAGTGTTCATCTCCTTAAGAAAGCACATTCTATATTTACTCAGCAGACCAGGATGAAATTGCAGTGGAGGGATTGTCTGAAACTATATTCACCTAAAACACAATTTTGCTAAATCAACTTTTCGAAAGTTCAGTAAAACTTTTGTTTTTAAATGATGTCAGAATAAATTGTTTGACTATATTAACATTTCAAATAGGTGTATTTTAAGTTTTTAAGCTAGCTTGTGATTCACATATGATTTTTTGTTAATTTCAGTTCATTTGTAAGCTTCAGTATCCTTGGGTGGCTGTGATTTTTGATGCTTATTTCTAATATGTTGAAATGTTACCTTTGAACTCAGAGCTAGAGTTTTAAGATAAACTGGGAATATGGGCAGTTTGATATTCAGAAATAGCATGGAAGATGGAATTGCTCTGTTAAAGTAGGGAGGAGTCTGGAGCCAAGTGGGGTGGGAGCGGGTGAGCTACCTGAACTTCTTGAATAAGCCCATTATGCAATAGCATGATTATCTCCAGAGAAGTTGGGGTGGTGTTCTGGATGGCAGCACAGTGGATGTGCTGCAAAGGCATAGCTGAGGTTTTGAAGAAGTGAGATGCAACAGAGCAGTAATCATGACATAATGTGTATATACAACATACACACGTGTGCAAATATTTACAACACAAAGGCATATTGATCAGCTAAAACAGCATGTATATTTGTAAACAAATAAATTACAAAGTATTTGTAATTCTACCACTTGGAGACTCGACTATGTTTTTGGAAATCTTCTGGTCTTTTCCTTTTGCTTTGCACCCAGTTTCCTTGCATAATCACTCTAGTTTACTAAAAGACAATTTGATGTCATTGTCAAGATCATGGTTTTTAAGGTCAGACAGCCCTGGGTAGAGTCAAGGCTCTGTTATGTTATAGGAGGCAAGTTATTTAACCTTGTTGAGACTTGTTCATCCATACAAGGAAGGTGATGATACAAATAACACAGTATTGTTCTGAGGATAAAAGAGAAAATACCATGATTTTCAATCCTCACTGCACATTAGAATCATCCAAGATCTTTGAAAAATTCCAATATTTGCATCCCACCTCCCCAGAGAGCCTGATGTAATTGTGCTGCCTTGGCTTGGCAGGTTTATTTCTGTTGTTGTTTTTAGTGATTTATCTAGGTCACTATGATGCAGCCAGGAGGACTGAGAAGTTCTGCAATAATGTTTGCAAAGCTCTTGATACTTAAAGCTCAAAAAGGCATTAGCATCATTATTGTACTTTTTTTTAATAAAAATGGATTAATAAAGCCCATTATTACCTGTTTTTTTTTCCCCACTCCCCTGCCATCTATGAGCTCTGGAAAAAGCCTACCACACTCCTCCTTTAGAGGTAGAGTCAAATCAACTAATTTGATTCAGCTTTCACTGACAAATGTGCAGCTGCCTTGTTTATCAGTTTCCAAGGCTGGATAGTATTCAGTAGTATCTTTATATTCCAATTTACTTAATTAGCCACACTAGAAATTTAGATCATTGAGAGTATTGTGCTAAAGAATATCATGAATCAGCTTGTGCATATAAATATCTTTATAGCTGTTCAACTATTTCCTTAGGATAAATTCTTAGAGAAACTGCTGGCTCAGAAGGTACATACACTTTCAGGGCTTCTCAACATTGTCAAATTGCCCTCCTTAATGGAGTGATCAATGTCATTTCAGATGTGTTAGGGCTACAAATAAGAAAAAAACTTAGTTCGAATTAATAAAGGAGATTGATTGGCTCATGTAACTGGCAAGTCTAGAGATTAAGTGAATTTCAGAACTAGTTTGATTCAGCATTTCAATAATACCATCAAGGATCCATCTACATCCCTTCATTTTCCCCCTTAGCCCTATGCAGTACCAGCTTTTTTTTTATAGTTGAAACAGGACTGCCAACAATTCCTGGAGACGCATGCTTCCTAATGCATACACAGGGAGAGAAGGCAGCTCCTTAAGCTCTGACTGTAAGAACAAGGAAGTTGTTTTCTTCAAAGTTCCAGCAAATCATGCCTTACTTCTGATTGGTCTGGTTTTGGTTGATCAGGGATGAGAACATGCTCATTAGTTTACCCCTGAGTTGCTGATTAGCTCATGTCTAAGTTATACAAAGAGGTAGGCTTCTTCCAGAGCTCATAGATGGCAGGGGAGAGCTTCAAATGTGCTGAAGGAAGGAGAATGTGCAGTGAGGAGACAACCACAATGCCCATGATGAGCAAAATTTGAGAGAATTAAATCTTGCTGCTACCTGCAAAGTTTGAGGAGAAGGGAAGAAAGTGAGTTTGTGAGAAATGGGCCTTAGCATTGTGTTATGAGTCTACCGTAGGCAACTTAAAGACATTTCCACAGCTGTAGGGGTGAATCAGTTGCATGCCTTCTGCCTAAGAGAATCCACTCAGGATGGTTTCATCCACATGAGTCTGGTGAGTTTAAAGAGTAGTAGGTTCAGTATCACAGGGCTGTTGCGTTAATCTGCAGCCAAAATGAGTGACTTCAATTTTCTGTACCATTTTATGTCTCAAGTAAACAAATACATAATTTCTTATAGCAAACATATATAGCAATCTTAAGTAAACCATTGCTTTTGCAAGTCTTGTTTCTTATTAACTGATCATCAATCGAAGTCAGGTGGAACATGAAGCAAATCTTTTATGAGAACTGCTTGATGATTATAGCCCTGAAAACCCTTTTTCCCTTGAAATACCATAATATAATGATTCTCAAACAGGATTCTGTGCACCAGAACCCTCTGAAAGAATTGTTAAACATAGATTGCCAGGCGCCAACCCCAGAGTTTTGATTTCAGCTTAACTGTTAGAAATGCAAATTTCTAACAAGTTCCCAGGTGAAGCTGATGTTGCCCATCCTGGGACCACCCTTTGAGAAACACTGACACAGTGCATGGACATTTTTGCATCATAAAGTGGTTGCAGGTGAAAGCTTTGGAGTTGGAGGCTCTTGTATTTGAGTGTAGCTTCTTACCAGCTCTGAGAACTTAGAAAGATTCCTTAACCTCTAAGCCTCAGTTTTCCTAACATTGAAATGGGGAGTAACTTAATACCTCTCTTATCTTGTTGTTGTCAGAATATGGATGTGCATATTCTTGCAGCCCAACTCAACTGTCACTTGTTCAGGGTAGCTTTCCTGACATCTGTTACTAGGTCAATTTCCTTTCTTACATGCTTAAGTACAGCCAGACTCTTTTAAGAGCACTCATTCACGATTTTGTGCATTTGTTAGTAGGATTAATTTGATTAATCCGTCTTCCTCAACCAAAGTATGGGTTTCATGAGACCAGGGATCAGTCTTGTTGTTTTTCTTTTTTTAAAGCTAATTATTGTATCTTCAGTGCCCCCCAGCACTGTACCAAGCATCTGCTTTACATATATTTTTGAATAAATAAAACTTAACATGTAAAGCAATCAACACATTTCCTGAAATACAGTATGCATTTCGCTCATTGCAGAAAATGTACAACTATAGTGGTACATTTACTTGTTTCAAGGATATTCATTATCTGCTCTTACTCTCCCAACCCACAATCTAATCTCTGTCTCCAGAAGTAGGGAAATATAGTGCTTTATGTGGGTTTGTGTGTGTGTGTGAAACTGGTTTGTAAATGGTAAAGTGTTCTATAAATACCCGGTGTAGTTGATTATGAGAACCTTCTAATGACTGTTCCAGGGTTAAGCAAACTGTTGGTTTTCCATCAATGCCTGTGGTTGGACACATTTGCCCATTAAGAGATACATAGTTGAGGAATGCTTGTTTCTATCAGCCTCGAGACTGAAACCTTTCTCACCTTGTATTGGATTTGAATATAGGCATTAGGAAAGGTCATGTGTTGATTTACTTTAAAGGCATTTCCTGTGTGGCCAGGTTCTAATTGGATTCCATCTTATCATGAAAGTGATCTTACTATGTCTCCTCAGGGTGCTATTGGTCTAGCAATTCTCTTTGATAACATTCTGGTTTGCTACAGCTCTTTCAAATCCAGACCCAGAGGAGTCTGGGATAGGGAAATATTAACATTTAGATTTATTTCTCATGGCAGTTGTGTAATTGAATTTCTCTCTTGCTAACCCATTTTAAACTGGTGTAACTATCACTGTCTCCAGTGGAACTCTTAAATAGAAAGCATTGGTGGAATAATGTCTACTAAAAAGGATTATATCAATTCAGTCTACCCTCAGCATTCTGTACAAAAAATTTGCCATATTCAATAGCACTGAAATACATTTTCAAAGGTGTCAGTATTTCTATTCCAGGGACCTTTAAAGATCATTTAGTCCCTCTAGGTCTCTAAGTGGAACAATTTCTTGGGCAGGTCAGAAATGTAATTGTCATGATATATGAAAGACACGTTTTCCTTATTTCTGCTTACAACCTTTCTGTCAAAATCCAATATGTATTTAATTGTTCAAATGTTCTCTGGAAGAGATGATTTGAGGAAATTTGAGGATTTATAGTTTATTAGATACATTCTGCAATACACAGTTGAAACTCATTTATATAAAATGAGTATGAATTTTGTTCCATATATCTAAGTATAAGAAAAACACATTCATTTCTTTATAATAAATTGAATTAAACTCTGAGAACCCACTTTCCAGCTGCCAAGTTTTGGGACACCTTCCTCCTTCCTACTGTCTCAAAAATCAGGGTAACTCTGTGTCTCTGGGGCATGTAAAAAGCATCCACAAAGTCCAATTTATTATGGGGCTCACTGTCCAAGATTGATAGTCTATTTGGGGAAGGGTGAGTTTGTCACTGTGTACTGACTGTAGGCCTGGTGACCCTTTATAACAGCTCTATGCCATGATGGAAGAGACACTAAAATGCTAACAGAAGAGTAGATTCTTTCCTAGAGTTCATCTAGTGGTATTACTTCTCAGTTTAAGACACATAACTATTGACGTACAACTTGAACATGCAGTGGCAGTCAGATGTTAGAGCACTGGGACAGTTGAAGTACTCTAAGAGCAAGGCTGTGAGAAGTAGTCAAAGAGTGTCACTTTTCAGAAGTCTTTGCTCCTCCACCAGATCAACCGGGTGGGCCTTACCTGCCTAATTGCTAGCTGGCTGCCTCCACCTATTCTGCCTCCCTGCTCCACCCTAACCTTCACTAGCATCTAGTGGAGGAACTGTCATATCAGAAAATACAAGTCACCATGCAGATGCAGCCTTCTTCTCTTATGGAAATGTAACCCTCACAAGAAAATCTCAAACCTGCTTTCTTTTTCCATTGGAGGAAGCTCCCTCAAGAATCCAGCCTACACTGCGCATTTGTGGTTGTCCCCCATTAAACATTTATACCATTGCCGTCAGCTCCTGATTTCTATCTGGAGGTTCACGTTGTTCCAGGGAACCTGACCAATCCCTTGAAAAATCCCACCCATTGAATGGGGGGAACTGATGTTGCTTGTTACTTGATTCAAGCCTCCTGGTGGGCAGAAGGTATTCTTAATTCTCCTAATCCAGCCTCTGTCTTAGGCAGATCCTGTGCATTAAACCTCACAGTGGGGCTTTCTCGGTGTTCCTGTTCCCCCTGCCAGGGCTGCAAAACTCTGCCTTGTGTTAGTCTTGTGTGAGAGCGTGTTTCCTGCCCCTCCTGCAATGGAGGAGCCTAGATCTGATTGAGTCTCCTGGACCTCCTTTAGTAGAAGGTGGCTTTGGGCTGGGCCTACTGAGAGGTGAAAAAGTTTCCTATGCAGATAGCTTTTATTGTTCCTCTAGGTTTCCTTATTTTTATCAGATTGGGAAAAAAGTTTAAAGGTTTAACAATATAATTGCTTTTTGGTGAGAAGTTATGCCAAAAAATAGACCTCTTATATTGCTGAACACAGAGCTAAAATGTCCAACTGCCATGGAGGGGGAACTCAGTGTCAAAGAAAAGTACATATTAATTTTATCAATAATACCAAACCTATGAATCTACTTCTAAAATATGCTGAAACAGTTATGAAACATATGTGCAAGATCTTTTTGCACTATTTTTAAAACAAGAGTTGAAACATCCATTAACAAAGACTTGATTGAATAAAAAACATATTTATACAATAAAGTCAGCAAAAGTGAAGGAGGAAGATATCTGTGTGTAAACATGACATCATCTTTATGCTATATTGGGAAATGGAAAAACATCATATAGAATGGTAGGTAGCGAGGTAAATATTATGGTTAATTTGATGTGTCAACGTGGCTAGGTTATGTGCCCAGCTGTTTGGTGAAACACTAATGTAGATATTGCTGTGAAGATACTTTGTAAGTGTAACATTTACAGTCAGCTGGATTGCTTCTCAGCATTTTGGCTAAGATCAAATGTAGTACAATCAGTTGGCCTTAAGTACAGCAGATTACCCTGTATAGTGTGAGTGGGCCTCATCCAATCAGTTGATGGTCTCGAGCAAAATCTGAGGTTTCCTGGAGAAGAAGGCATTCTCCCTCAAGACTGAAGCATAGAAATGCTGCCTGAATTTCCAACTTGCTTGCCTGCCCTAAAAACTTTGAGCTTGCCAGCTCCACAATCAAGTTGAGCCAATTCATTAAAATCCCAAAAGCTCAAAGTCAATCTCTTTATCTTCTTTCATATTGGCTCTGTTTCTCCGGAGAACCCTGACTGATACAGCAGAAAAATAAATGCTGTAGTGATATAGCATGCTGCCTTTTGTGTATAACACAAAATATCAGAGGGAGAAAGTAGAAACTACCCAAAAAAATCAGCTGCAGGAAGCAATTGGAACAGAGAGAGGAAAAATTGAAAATGAGACTTAGTGGAGTACATTCCATATAGTTATCTAATAAACTTGTTTTTCTATTGAAATACAATTTTTTTTTCATTTTGGAACCATGTCAAGTTTTATCTCTTCATGAGTTTAACATTCTTTTCTTTTAAAATATTGCTATGTAGTTATGGATATATAAGCAGTATACTGGCTAGTCTTATAATTTTTTGATTTTTATAAAAATAGAACCATACTTCAGAGGAAAGGTTATCAGAGGGAAAAAACATTTGTCAGACATAAAACAAGTATCTATTCCTGAGATGCATCCAAATTGGTATCTTTATTTTTTCCCCTTGCTATACAGTATTGCATTGTGTGAATATACTACAATCTTTAACATTTCTTGTTGATTATACCTTTCTTCTTTAGTGCTGAAGCCAGTTCTGAATGATTACACTTTTATAAAAATTCTTGTGCAGCTCTTACTACACAAGGGCAAGAGTCTCTAGGGTATTTATCTAAATGCACAAAAGCAGAATTGTGCAGGGATACGAGGTTATGGGCACCTTCAGCTTACTAGGTGATGCGTGTTTTTCCAAATCGCACCCCTAGCCAGGAGTGTGTGAAGTGAGTTCTCATTGCTCCATATCCTTAACAACACTTGTTATTGCCATTTTTTCTAACTTCTGATGACCTGGTGGTTACAAAATGATTGAATTGTAAATTTCAGTGATTTGTTTCTAGGCATACCTTTAGTAACTTTAAATATTTTTTTCAAAGTCTTTCTCTCTAGTTTTAAACAGTTCTCTTTATTTTTAAATTGTCCTAGGCTTACTTTTATATTGTTTTTTTAGATTTTGTTTTATCTGAAATTCTTGGTTTTAGCCATCCTATTGTGTCTATTAATTCTCATCCTAGAGGATATCCTTTTGTGTTTTATAATTTTTTATTGCCTGCTTATTTCGGTGGTATTGTATCTGATAGAATCCTCTGTAGCCAAAGGTGCTATGTGGTTTGTGTTTCATTTTGTTGAGACGAGATTTCACTCTGTTACCCAGGCTAGAGTACAGGGGTGTGATCATGGCTCACTGCAGCCTTCAACTCCTGGGCTCAGCCTCCCAGTTAGGTGGGATTAGAGACATTCATCATTATGCCCAGCTAATTTTTTAAAAAAAAAATTATAGAGATGGGGTTTTGCTATGTTGCCCAGGCTGGTCTTGAACTTCTGGGCTCAAGTTACCCTCCTGCCTCAGCCTCCCAAAGTGTGGGATTACAGGCATAAGTCACCATGCTGGGACTAGTGCTATGTTCTTTCTCTAGGGTGTTTTTTCTTTTCTTTTTTTTTTTTTTTTTATTGATCATTCTTGGGTGTTTCTCGCAGAGGGGGATTTGGCAGGGTCATAGGACAATAGTGGAGGGAAGGTCAGCAGATAAACAAGTGAACAAAGGTCTCTGGTTTTCCTAGGCAGAGGACCCTGGGGCCTTCCGCAGTGTTTGTGTCCCTGGGTACTTGAGATTAGGGAGTGGTGATGACTCTTAACGAGCATGCTGCCTTCAAGCATCTGTTTAACAAAGCACATCTTGCACCGCCCTTAATCCATTTAACCCTGAGTGGACACAGCACATGTTTCAGAGAGCACTGGGTTGGGGGTAAGGTCATAGATCAACAGCATCCCAAGGCAGAAGAATTCTTAGTACAGAACAAAATGGAGTCTCCTATGTCTACTTCTTTCTACACAGACACAGCAACACTCTGATTTCTCTATCTTTTCCCCACATTTCCCCCTTTTCTATTCGACAAAACCGCCATCGTCATCATGGCCCGTTCTCAATGAGCTGTTGGGTACACCTCCCAGACGGGGTGGCGGCCGGGCAGAGGGGCTCCTCACTTCCCAGAAGGGGCGGCCGGGCAGAGGCGCCCCCCACCTCCCAGACGGGGCGGCTGGCCGGGCGGGGGCTGCCCCCCACCTCCCGGACGGGGTGGCTGGCCGGGCGGGGGCTGCCCCCCACCTCCCTCCCTGCCGGGGCGGCTGGCCGGCCGGGGGCTGCCCCCCACCTCCCGGACGGGGCGGCTGCCGGGCGGAGATGCTCCTCACTTCCCAGACAGGGCGGCTGCCGGGCGGAGGGGATCCTCACTTCTCAGATGGGACGGCTGCCGGGCGGAGGGGCTCCTCACTTCTCAGACGGGGCGGCTGCCGGGTGGAGGGGCTCCTCACTTCTCAGACGGGGCGGCCGGGCATAGACGCTCCTCACCTCCCAGACGGGGTCACGGCCGGGCAGAGGCGCTCCTCACATCCCAGACTGGGTGGCGGGGCAGAGGCGCTCCCCACATCTCAGACGATGGGCGGCCGGGCAGAGACGCTCCTCACTTCCTAGACGGGATGGCGGCTGGGAAGAGGTGCTCCTCACTTCCCAGACTGGGCAGCCGGGCAGAGGGGCTCCTCACATCCCAGATGATGGGCGGCCAGGCGGAGACGCTCCTCACTTCCCAGACGGGGTGGCGGCCAGGCAGAGGCTGCAATCTCGGCACTTTGGGAGGCCAAGGCAGGCGGCTGGGAGGTGGAGGTTGTAGCGAGCGGAGATCACGCCACTGCACTCCAGCCTGGGCAACATTGAGCACTGAGTGAATGAGACTCCATCTGCAATCCCGGCACCTCGGGAGGCCAAGGCTGGCAGATCACTTGTGGTTAGGAGCTGGAGACCAGCCCGGCCAACACAGCGAAACCCCGTCTCCACCAAAAAAATACTAAAACCAATCAGGCGTGGCGGCGTGCGCCTGCAATCGCAGGCACTCGGCAGGCTGAGGCGGGAGAATCAGGCAGGGAGGTTGCAGTGAGCAAAGATGGCGGCAGTACAGTCCAACTTCCGCTCGGCATCAGAGGGAGACCGTGGAAAGAGAGGGAGAGGGAGACCGTGGGGAGAGGGAGAGGGAGAGGAAGACTGTGGGGAGAGGGAGAGGGAGAGTCAGAGTCAGAGTCAGAGTCAGAGTCAGAGTTAGAGTCAGTGAGAGTCAGAGTGAGAGTCAGAGTCAGAGTCAGAGTCAGAGTCAGAGTCAGAGTCAGAGTCTAGGGTGTTTTTTTCATTGGCTTCTGACGAGTACTCCAGGAACCTCAGCAGCTTCCGACCATGTTGACATCTGATAACTTGAGTTGATGGATTAGAAACTATTTGTATAAGTTTCAATCTCAAATCCATATGATGCATAAGTTTATGGTTAGAATTTTTCATGGAGAATGTGTCTTTGCCCAAATCCATACCCAAGGTTAAGAAACGAATTTTTAATTGCTTTCTTGTGATATTTTGTTTTCTTTTTCTATTTCACCTCCTGATGAGAAAGCACCGTAAGCATCTTAGCTTTATACACTCATCTCAGTTCCAACTTTTTGCTTCACTTAGGTCCAGGGACCACTCTTCTGTCTTTGGGCAGTAAAACTCAAGCCTCTTAATTACTAGGATTGACAGGGCCCCTGCCATTAGGACAGCCACAGCCTCATCACACAGGATTTTGTTTGCTCTTCATGTTAGGCCCTATGATATGCTTTTGTCTATTGTCTTAGGTATGCATGTGATACGAGGTTATATTTTATGTAGCATTTCTATATGCTTGTAGTGAAAATATTCTGAGTTATCTAGCATTTCATATGCTGCAACTTGCAGTCTCTTTAATGTTCCAGTTTATTTACTTATTTTATTTTTAGGGTTTTTTTTTTGGTGGTGGTGGTTTGTTTTTGTTTATTTGTTTGTTTTTGCAACTGAAATATCCTAACTATTCAATCTCTAAGCTCTCATGTTCTTCCACCCACTAGGGCACCTCAGCTTTGCATTATATATATACACTGTTAGATGTCTAGTATTAAGAACACAAAAATTCTCCTTACTCTGACTTGAAAAAAGCCAGAGTCTCTGGGATTTAAAGCCCTTCTAGAGAAGGAGAGTGGAAAAGGAGGGAGAAGCAGATTTACTTTTTCCCTTCATTTGCTATAGCAGTGAGAGTATCATAAATCCATACATCAATAAATTATCCTCTACAAACTTGTTGGTATTAATCTGAGGCAAATTTGTCCCAAATAATGTTACATGCGTGCACGCTCACTCCCCTTCCCCTGCCCCACACACACGCTTTAAAGAGCAGGGTTAGACAAATTAATATACTTCTGGTAAATTACAAGGCTTCGATGCCAAGGCTGCTGTAATGCCACAGAAAAGAAAAAAATGTTTATTTGAGCATATACTGTTTACCTAGAACTGTCCCAAGTCCATCCTCATAAGCAGCCCTGGAAGACTCTTGATCCTAATTAAAAAATAATCTTAAAATCCATTCCTTTTAAAACTTATGAAGCTGGAACTATATATAATTTCAAATTACTTCTCTGGTCTTATTTTTTATTGTGAGTTTTTATGCTGAGTATTTTCTAAATATTGTAGACGTAAAATATGCAATTAAACTGCTCATTTCTTTATAAACTTTACCGTCTTTTTAAAAAAATCAGAGTATAATATTTAAGTAAATCACATTCTTATTTTCAGGGAGTAAAGAGATACTGGACAATTAATATAGAAACTGTAACCCGTAATTCATCTAGTGAAAGGTACGTGAAAATAGATCATTAATTAAATTAAAAACCAATAATCAAATGTCTCAAAATGATGAGTTTCCCCAACCCAAATGTATGATGTGAACTTTGCAGTCAGGTAAGGCTTTTTGTTCCTACCCATTTCCTTTTGCTCTATATGTATTATTTTTGCCATGTTTTTGGTGAAAATTATTACTAAAACTTACCACACAGCCATTTCCCCTCTTTAAGAGCAAAATTCTACCTTCAGCAATAGAATTCTTACTTCTTTTCCCTTTTTTTGTATGTACTTAGACGTTAAACTTATACTTCCATCAGGCATTATTATAGCGTATTATGCTAGGGATTGCATGCAAGAAATATTTTTTCCAAGAAAATTATGGCTCTGAAATTTCCATTAATGGACATTTTAAATTAAAATTTAAATTACTTAAAAACTCCCTTTCAATAACAATGTTTGACTTTTTTTTGTCTCTCCACCTATTCTAAAAAACAAAAATACAAACCCTCACTTATCAAGAGGTCATTTAAAAAATATATCCCAGTATCTGACGTTCAGTAACAAAGTCAACTTACCAATGGAACAGAACAGAGGCCTCAGAAATAATGCCACACATCTACAACCATCTGATCTTTGACAAACCTGACACACATAAGCAATGGGGAAAGGAGTCCCTATTTAATAAATGATGTGGGGAAAACTGGCTAGCCAAATGCAGAAAACTGAAACGGGGCCCCTTCCTTACACCGTATACAAAAACTAACTCAAGATGGATTAAAGATTTAAATGTAAGATCTAAAACCATAAAAATCCTAGAAGAAAACTTAGGCAGTATCATTCAGGACATAGGCATGGGCAAAGACTTCATGACTGAAACACCAAAAGCAATGGCAATAAAAGCCAAAATTGACAAATGGGATCTAATTAAACTAAAGAGCTTCTGCACAGCAAAAGAAACTATCATCAGAGTGAGCAGGCAACCTACAGAATGGGAGAAAATTTTTGCAATTTATCCATCTGACAAAGGGCTAATATCTAGAATCTACAAAGAACTTAAATTTACCAGAAAAAAAATCCCATCAAAAAGTAGGCGAAGGATATGAACAGACACGTCTCAAAAGAAGACATTTATGCAGCCAATAAACATTAAAAAAAAGCTCATCATCACTGGTTATTAGAGAAATGCAAATCAAAACCACAATGAGATACCATCTCACACCAGTTAGAATGGTGAACATTAAAAAGTCAGGAAACAACAGATGCTGGAGAGGATGTAGAGAAATAGAAATGTTTTTACACTGTTGGTGGGAGTGCAAATTAGTTCAACCATTGTGGAAGACACTGTGGCGATTCTTTGAGGATCTGTAACCAGAAATACCATTTGACCCAGCAATCCCATTACTGGAAATATACCCAAAGGATTATAAATCATTCTGCTATAAGGACACATACGCATGTATGTTTATTGTGGCACTATTCACAATAGCAAAGACTTGGAACTAACCCAAATGCCCATCAATAATAGACTGGATAAAGAAAATGTGGCTCATATACACCATGGAATACTATGCAGCCATAAAAAGCATGAGTTCATGTCCTTTGCAGGGACATGGATGAAGCTGGAAACCATCATCCTCAGCAAACTAACACAGGAACAGAAAACCAAACACCACATGTTCTCACTCATAAGTGGGAGTTGAACAATGAGAACACATGGATATAGGGAGGGGAACATCACACACCAGGGCCTGTTGTTGGGTGGGGGGGCTAGGGGAGGGATAGCATTAGGAGAAATACCTAATGTAGATGATGGCTGATGGGGGCAGCAAACCACCACGGCACGTGTATACCTAGGTAACAAAACTACATTCTGCACATGTACCCCAGAACTTACAATTTAAAAAAAGTAAAACAAAGGATGTTGAATAATCAAAAAATGCATTATCCTTAGCACTTTAAAAAAAAAAACTCGATTTTCAGAACACCGGTTGATTTTATTGCCCACAGCAAATTAAATACAACAAATACACAACAAGTTGTGACTAGAGTTTGACACACTCAAATTCACAAGAGATGGTTGATGAATGAAAAATCAATAATTCAAATGACTCAAGTCTTTGTTAAGAGTAAGGGGAAAAGGTTGTTTTCATAGTGATTTTTTTGAGTTTTGAGAGTAACTCCTATATATGCCTCAGTTCTCAGTTGAGATATTACTTCTGTAAGGAGACCATCTCTGAATTCCTACCTCTCTTCCACCACTACCACCTTGAAGTTAGTTCCCTTGTGATAGCATTGATCACACTGTGTCATCATTTCCTCATTATATGCAGTTACTACTACTAATTTCCAAGCAAGTTCATGACATTATTTTTATGTGGCTTTCTTAGTCTTGAACAGTGTCTATTACAATAAATATCTTAAAAGAATGAAAGTATTGTCACTGGTGTTTATCACATCTGTGACCTGGAATTAATAATTAATTGAAGTAATGAACTTTCAGAACTGAATAGCTTGGGAAAATTAGTCTATCCATTCATATATACAGATGAGGAAATTAAAGTCCAGGGAAGGAAAATGACTCAACCTAAAAAACAGGTAGTACATGACATACCTAAGTGAGAACAAGTATCTTCTGAATCTTATTTCTGGCTATTTCTATGACCTGATGTGGTTGTTAAAGATGACAGCAAATTGAATTTGTACTGTAAACCAGGCACTGATGCTCAACAAAATACCTGTTTAAGACTCATTTAGTCTTAAACACCCTGATGAAGTTTACACAAGTATTTTCCACATTGTTTGAGGCTCATAGCAGTTGAGAACCTTGTCAAGAAATTGAAGCAGAGTTTGCATCTTTAACTCCAAAATCCCAACTCCTCACTACCACCCCAGCCCATCCTTTAGGTTCATTCTCCCAATTATAAAGGCAAGCCACATGTGAGTCCACTGTGCTGATTTCTAAAATGGCTATTGGTTCATGACTGCAAGCCAAAATTTCTGAATAAATGGAGATTTAATTCAAATTTTAAAAAATGAGGAGAGGATTACTTCAATGGTAGTAAAAACTTGAAAAACATTGATTTGGATGGGATATTAAGTACTTAACAAAATATAACCTAGTCTATGAATATGAAAATAATATATCTACATTGAACCATCAAACTCAAAATCATGCATGAAATATTATTTCCCACGTAAAATATTTTTGAATATTTGGATTATACTTAAAAGTATTGTAAAGCTGATAAAACTTTGAATATAAGTCTGCTTTAAGTTTTTGTTAGCAGTTTGTGCAAAGAAAAAAAGACTCCCCAGGTAGCGAGAGGTGTAGGCTATTAGGCATTGGGATAATTGTAGAAGAGTCTATGTAGCTGTCTGGTTTGTGCCTGGTTAGTGACTGGCAGGCAGCTGAAGACAAGAGCAGGTTACCCTGCATCTGCATGCATGAAACCTATCTTTAGGCCTCTGAAATGAACATGGCAGTGGCATGTGTGCAGTATGCATAGAAGGAAGTAAAGGCTATGCCACTGGTGCATTCATTTCAGTGTAATAAAACTAGTCATCATGGAATCAACCTAGATGGCCATCAATGTGGACTGAGAAAATATAGTACATATACACCATGGAATACTATGCAGCCATAAAAAAGAATGAAATCATATCCTTTGCAGCAACATGGATGCAGCTGGAGGCCATTATCCTAAGCAAATTAACACAGGAATAGAAAACCAAGTATTGCATGTTCTCAGTTCTGAGTGGGAACTAAGCATTGGGTACACAAAAGCACAAAGATAGGAATGATAGATAATAGGGAATCCAGAAGGGAAGGAGTGGGGCAAAGGCTGAAAAACTACTTATTGGGTATTATGCTCACTACCTGGGTGACAGGATCAATTGTATTCCGAATCTCAGCATCATGCAATATGCCCATGTAAGTAAAAAGCCTGCACGTGTACCCTCTGAACCTAAAATAAAAGTTGAAGTTATAGAATAAAAATAAAAGATAGTTAAGAAAGAATACTTCTCCAAGTGAAGCTATTAATGTATTAATACTAAAAAGATAGAGCTGGTTCTTATTGGGAACTTATTACGGGTGCATGACTTCATTTAATCCTCGAATTAGCTTATGAGGTAAACAACACAATCATCCCCATTTTATCAATAATGAAACTGAAACTCAGGTTAAGTAATGTGCCTAAAATCATACAGCTATTTATTTTCTCTCTAGAATCTGCATTTTAGCTATAATCCTGTTCTAGGGATGCAGTAAATATGTTTTCCTTTTGCATAAAGAAGAAGCAAGCATCTTCAACTGGGAGAAAACAGGGTGATCCAGTAGAAATAATTTAAAGAGAAAAATGTGGGTTCACTATATGAAAGTGCATGTTGCCTTTAACATAACATACAGGTGAGTTAGGCAACATACTGTTGTGTTGATTTGTCACTAAACCGCTTTCACAGGAGAATATGTGTATGTTCTTTCTATGATCTCCCCAAAGTTTTGTAAGTTCTCATGATACTTGCTATATATTCTAAACAACTGTGGCCTGTAATATTCCTCAGTAGAGTGAACTACAGAAAAGGCCCTGACACTAACCCTTTGTACCATAATATTAGCCAGTTACACTCCCACAGAAAATGAGAGAAGAAAAGAGTTAAGATAACTAAGATATTCATTAAAAGTGCAGGCCTACTTGTTTCTGCGATGATTCAAAATGATGATGATACCATTGGAAATTGTACAGATCTATCTGTGCTATTTTGTGCGGCCAGAGTTTTGGGGAGCATGTTTGGAGTAGAGCTGCTGGATCAAGCCCTTCATGCATAGCCGATTATACTTGGACAGTGCAAAGGCCGGCACACTGTTGCTATTTATGGATGAAAATCATTTTGTGATTTGTTAGTAGCTCTGTAGAATACGTTTCTAGAAGTGAAACTGCTGAGTAAAAAGGATTTTTAATGCAATTTAATATTGCCAAATTGCATCCCCACAAATAGCATTATAGTTTATTATCCCATCAACAGTGAAAGGGATGCTCTTTAAAAAAAAAGTTTAATTTTCACTACAAATGTCTTTCTTTTATTTACCCCAAATTACATTTTTTCCAAACAATTGTTGTTTACATAGGAGGATCATAACAGTGGCATCTAATTAAGTCCTAACTGCCAGTATTTCTTCCTGGAAATAGGTCTACCTTAGGGGTTAGAATATGAGGGGCAGTATTACCCCATATAACAGAAAGCAAAATAGCTGAGGATTAATTCGCTGGCATATATATTATGTTGTTTAGATACTACTTCTCAAATCTATGCCCATTTTTTTGAGGATCTCTTCTCTTTAAGTGTGCTGGAATTCTTGATCCTCCTTAGAAGTGTAGCTCATTTATTTTGTTGCTTTGCTAGTATCATGGCATACTAATAAGGCTTTTGTGAAATGTCAGCATAGACTCTTTTTTTCTCATCCTGCAATTAGTGAATTTGCTGGCAGCCTTCATTGTTCTGTTTTGAGAAAAATTGACTGTTACAGAGATTGTAGCAGCATTTATAATTATAGGCCAGGAATTGGGGTTATTATTTATTCTATTGGATTTAGAAATTCCTGTGTGAATTTGCACATGTTCTTTAGTGTGCTGCTTTTCTATGGTATAAAAATTTTTAAAGTCTATAATCTGTTTATTTCTTTTGTAGGAAAAAATGACAAAAAGAAACATACTTAAAGATATAGAGTAGGCCAGGCGTGGTGGCTCACTCCTGTAATCCCAGCACTTTGGGAGGCCCAGGTGGGCGGATCATAAGGTCAAGAGATTGAGACCATGCTGGCCAACATGGTGAAGCCCCATCTCTACTAAAAATGCAAAAAAAAAAAAAAAAAAAAAAATAGCTGGGCATGGTGGCATGTACCTGTAGTCCCAGCTACTTGGGAGGTTGAAGCAGGAGAATCACTTGAACCTGGGAGGTGGAGGTTGCAGTGAGCTGAGATTCTGCCACTGTACTCCAGCCTGGTGACAGAGCAAGACTCGATCTCAAAAACAAAACAAAACAAAAACTAAGGTTTTTTTTCTTCTCCCCAATTAGACCAATTTCAGCTAAGACGTATTGAAAATCTCCTGTAAGCCAATTAATATGGAAATCTCAAGATGAGACCCTTGTCCCTACCATCAAGGAAATTAGTTGGAAACACAAACGTTTAAACCAATAATTATTATGTGTAGAGTTTTAAAAAAATGAGTAGCAAAGACAAATAACTACCCCTCAATTAGGAGCTGCAGAATAAAAATCATTTTAAGCATATGCAAAGAATTTGAGACATGTAAGAGTTACACCATATTAAAGAAAAAGACAGGTGATGTTTGGTGAGTGTTTGAGTTTTCTAATGTGCAACAAATTATCAGAAACTTAGTGGCTTAAAACAACATTCATTTATGATCTGAGTTTTTGTAGGTCAGAAGTCTGGGCATGGCTTATCTGGGTTCTCATGAGGCTGAATTCAAGCGTCAGTCAGGCTGCATCCTCCGTGAAACTTGGGGTCATCTTTCATGCTTACATGGCTGCTGGCAGAATTCAGTTCCTTATGTTAGAAAAACTGAGGTTCCCCATTTTCTTGCTGTCAGCCAATGTCTGCTCTCAGGTCCTAGAGGCCCCCACAGTTCCTCATTACATGGACCTTTCTATAGGCAGTTTGCATCACTGCTTCAGGGGAACAAAAAAATCCCTATACATGAAGTTATTGACCATTTCTAAAAGGCTCCTGCCTGATTAATTTAAGCCCACTCAGGGTAGCATACCTTTTATTTAACTCACGATCAACTGTTTTGAGACCTTAATTATATCTGCAAAATACCTTCACCTTTGCCATGTAATACTACATAATAACAGGAGTGATATCACTTTTGCCATCTTGAGTGGCTAGAAAGTTACAGACTCTGCCCCCATTCAAGGGGAGAAGGTTGAAGAAGGGGATGAGTTACGTGGGTAACCTTAGAACTCTGCCTATGAAGGTAGGTAGATTTAAGCAGCAACAGGGATTGAACTCTCAGAACTCTTGTTCAGTAATCTAAGGGTCAGGGATTCTCTCCTGCAGGTAATGTTGATTTATTGTTAGGTTTTAATCCAAGAAAGACTGCAGTTTAGTAGAATAAAAGATAATTTCTCTGGCTGTGTGAAGAACGGTTTGACAGTTGTGCTGGATGAGCTACAATTAGGAGTTGATTAAATAAGTCAGTAGGATTGCCTCAAGACTGCAGCCTTGGCAGTGACCATAAAGACTGGCAGGAGGGGCAAATACTAGAAATATTTAGAAGGGAGAATGGAACAGTAAAAAGTGAGCGATTGGATATGCTGGCCAATATATAACTGCATTTAGCTGCTCTTTCTCAATCAAGATTTGATCCTAAGGAGACAAAAGGCATATGAAACACAGCCTGCAAAGGATATAAGTATACCTTGTGAAACGATGTTAGAATTTTAGAGCAATTGAAGAAAAGCTAAGAGTTTAAGTAAGTTGTGTTTATGTAGCAGTCTACATTCTCAGAGCAATCTTTACGTATGGGTAAGCTATATGTATGCTTACATTGTTAAGCTGTGACAGTAAGTAGATATTTTGAGAACTTTTTACATCAATAAAACATCAAGTTACGTAAAAGTTGCAAGAAAAGAACAAGGAACTTCATTATATCCTTTGTTCAGATTCATCAGTTTTCATTTTGGCCCATTTACTTCATCATTCACTTTCTTTATATAGAGATACAGATGTGTATATACACTTTTGAAACATTTGAGAGTAATTTGCAGACATTATGCTTACTTATCATTAAATACTTGTGTCTATTTCCTAAAAACAAGGTTTCTATTTGCTAATGTTTTGTGAAAGATTTTCATCTATGTTTATAAGGAATGGTTGTTTGGAATCCTCTTAACTCTTTTGTTAGCTTTTTGTATCAAGGTATACTGGCTTCATAAAATGCATTGGAAAGAATTCTCTTCTCTGTTTTACAAATTTGTGTAAGATTGGTATTCTTTCTTCTTTAAACGTTTCATAGTATTCACCAGTTATACTATCTGGGCCTAGAATTTTCTTCTGAAGAAGCCTTTTCATAATGAATTGGATTTCTCTACTAGACAAAGGGCTCTTCAGATTCTGTTTCTTCTGTTTGTGTTTAATCAGTTATAATTTTCAAAGACTTTATCCTTTGCATTTTTGTTGAATTTATTGGCATTTTTCTTCCCGTATTATCTTATTCTAAGTTTTTGTCTTTAAATAATTTCAGACATGTGAAATTTGTAAAAATACCTGTATACATTCACTCAGATTCCCCAAATGTTAACATTTTAAGCCAATTACTTTGTTCTTTCTTTCTCTGCTTTTTTATACACAGATATTTATAAAATATAATAGGATATAATAATAGATTTCTGAACCTGATACTCTGTCCTAAATTACAGATATAATAGCTCTCTATCTCTAAATACAATTGTATGTATTTCCTAAAAACAAGGATGTTCTCTTTCATAACCACAGTGTAATTTTCAAAATTGGGAAATTAACATTGTTACAATACTATCATCCAAAATACAGACCTTACTCAAATTTTACCAATTGTTTCACTAAATATCCTTCATAGTAAAATAAATTAAAAAATCCCTGATTCAAGTTCCAATTCAAGCTCACGCATTTAGTTATCAAATCTCTCTAATTTCCTTTAATCTAGAATACAGTCATGTGCCATATAAAGAAGTTTTGGTCAATAATAGATGGCACATACAACGTTGGTCCCATAAGATTATAATACCACAGTTTCAATGTACTTTTCTACATTTAGAAACATAAATGCTTACCACTGTGTTACAATTGCCTACAGTATTCAGTACAGTAACACGCTGTACAGGTTTGTAGCCCTGGGGAAATAGGTTATACCATCCAGCCTAGTAGGTGTGTAGTAGGCCCTATTGTCTAGGTTGGTGTAAGTAGACTCTGTGATGTCTGCCCAATGACGAAATCATCCATTCTTCAGAACATAGTCCTGTCATGAAGTCACGTATAAAGGTAGTTCCCTAGTCTTTATTGTCTTTCGTGACCTTGACATTTTGAAAAATGTTCATTTTGTAGGATGCCCCTCGATTTATATCTTTTAAAAAATATTTTTCTCTTTATATATTATTTCTCACCAGATTTGAGTTACACAATTTTGTGAAGAATATTACAGAAATGATGCGTTCTTTTCAATAAATCAATAGGCATATGATGCCCATTGGACCCATTCATGGTGGCGCTAACTTTGATCACTTGGTTTTATCAGTGTCTATAAGTTTTCTTCACCATAAAGTTAATAGTCTTTTGTGTGATTAACAAGTATTTTTTAAAACTATTAAAATATCCTGTTTCTCATCAAACTTTTATCTATTAGTTTTAACACTGATCAATGATTCTAGCCTGAAACAGTTATTACTATGGTGTTTAACAATGACTTTTAATCTCATCACTCTCCCTACATTTTAATTGCATTGTATTATGAGTTTTTATATCTCCCCATTAGTTTCCTCATTTATTTATTTATGTGAGCATGGTCTTATGGATTATTTTATCGGATGAAATCTATTTGTATAGTTACTAATTGTTTTTGTCCAAGTGTTCTGAATTTGGTCTCTTTCAACTAGGTTCTGTATACATTGACGTGTCCTAATCATTTTTGAGCACTTCCTTACGTCTGGCATGTTCCAGGTGGACGTTGTGCTTTGACCCAACCCTGGAGTTAGCCTTTCCTCTGGGAAAACTTGAGTACTTTAGTTGAGGTTGGTATTTAAAAATCATGATGTGGACGTGAAGTGTTCTCTTTGCTACTGAGTGTCATTTCTTGTAAGCCCCCTAAGTAGACTGAGATAAGAAACGTAGGTATGTGTATCAATATACACACACCTGCATACACGTATCCATATCTAGAGCCATAAGTTGATGTGGATGCTTCCACTTCCAGTCCAATTCCACAGAGTTAATTCTAACCTTTCTCTTTCTATATTTGTAAATGTCTTTTCTGACATTGAGAAATCTCATTATCTAAAATGTATTATTTCCTCATTCCTAGAATATATACGAAATAATTTTAGTATTGCTAACCCATAAAACTGTGAAAAACACACCTATTACCTAGAGTTTAACATTTGTTGACTGTTTTAATACTTGAGGGTATAGAGTGAAAGCAATGTATTCAAAACTTACATGAAATGATTCCTTATCCCTGTTTAGTATGATTATTTATCTGAATTAGTTATGCTCTCTTTCATTCCTAAAGTTGGTAATTGTGCTTTCTTTTTTTTAATGATCATTGTTGTGAGGGATTGATCACTTTTATTAATCTTTTCAAAGAACTTGCTTTGGGCTTTATTATTATTGTACTCGTTCTCTATTTCTTGTATTTCTGCACTTTAGCATTTCCCTTCTTCTACTTCCATTAGGTTTCATTTGCTCGTACATTTCTAGCTTCTTAGATGGAAACACATTTAACAAATTTCACTATCATTCTATTTGACATACTTCTTAATTTCCCTGTAACAACTTTGATCTACGTATACATTTTCCTATGTATACTTTTTGATTTTCAAGTATATAGAGCTTTTACACATATCTTTTATTAATTTTTAATTTAATTTCATTGTGGTCAGAGAATACATTCTCTAACATAGCAATCTTTGGAAACTATTTCATAATTAAAATTTATGGCCCCATATATGATCTTTTTTTTAAATATTGTACTTGGATTTGAACATGTATTCTACAGTTGCCAGGTGTAGTGCTCTATAAATATTATCTAGGTCAAGAAGGTTTATAATGCTCAAATTTTCTGTGTTCTGAGTCTTGCTTTGTGGTTGTTTTTTTTTTTTTTTGGTCTGGTTGCTAGAAAATAACACAAAAAGGAATGTTAAAATTGATAATGAATATTGTGGATCCGTCTGTTTCTCCCTTTAGGTCTTTCAATTTTGCTTGCTGTTTTTGGAATCTCTCCTAATAGGCACATAAATTTTTAATTGTTGTATTCTTGAAAAACTAAAAGTTTTATCATTATGAAATATCCTTTATTTTCTCCTGTAGTACTCTTTGCCTTAAATTCTATTTTATCTGATATTAATATCTTCATTCCAGCTTTTTGATGTTTAGTGTTTTCATGATGTATTAGGGTTTTCATTTTTTATCCTTTTATTTTTAGGTTATTAGTTTGTCCTTGCATTGCTATAAAGAAATACCTGAGACTGGGTAATTTATATATAAAAAAGATTTAATTTGCTCATGGTTCTGCAGGCTGTACAGGAAGCATTGCAGCATCTATTCAGCTTCTGGGAGGCCTCAGGAAACTTACAATCATGACAGAAGGTGAAGAGGGAGCCAGCACTTCACATGGCTGGGGCAGGAGGAAGAGAGAGGGGTGAGGTGTTATATACTTTTAAACAGCCAGATCTCACAATCACTCACTCAATATCACAAGAATAGGACTAGGGGAATGGTGCTAAACTATTCATGAAAAACTGCCCCCATGGTCCAGTCACCTCCCATGAGGCCCCACCTCCAGCACTGGGGATTACATTTCAACATGAGATTTGGGCAGGGACACAGATCCAAACCATATTCGTTATCTTTGTCTTTAATTCAAATGGTGTCATTTTTAGACAGCATATATAGTCAGCCCCCCTTATCCATGGGTTTTACAACTGTGGATTCAACCACTCAAGATTAAAAAGATTAAGGAAAAACACAAAAAATAACAATACAACAAAATACAAATAAAAATGCAAATAAACTATTTACCTAGCATTTACATTGTATTTGCTACAGACTTATTAGTAATCTAGAGGTAATTTAAAGTATAGCCATTTACTGCAAAATGACATTTCAGTCAACAGCTGACCATATATATACAATGGTGTTCTCTTAAGATTATAATACCATATTTGTACTATATCTTTGTTTAGATATGTTAAGATACACAAATACTTATTGTGGTACATTTGCCCACAGTATTTCATACAGTAACATGCTGTACAGTTTATAGCCTAGGAGAAATAGGCTATACCATGTAGACTAAGTGTGCAGGAGGTGAAACTATCTAGGTTTGTGTAAGTACACACTATGATGTTCACACAATGATGAAATCACCTAAGTATGCATTTCTCAGAACATATCCCTGTTGTTAAGCCATGTGTGATTATGTACGGGAGGATGTCTGTAGATTATATGCAAATACTATACCATTTTATGAGATACTTGAGCATTCATGAATTTGTTTAAGGTCTCCCTGTGTCTTTTTTCTTTCTTTCTTTAAGTTGATCAAATATTTTTTAGTGGACAATTTTATTGGCTTTTTAACTATACATCTTTATATTTTTGGTGGTTACCCTAGAGATTATAATATGCATTTTAACCTATTAGGTCTACTTAGGGTTAGTACTTTACCAATTAATGTAAAATACTAGAAATGTGCAACATCATAGTTCCATTTAACTATCCGTCCTTGAAGCTATTGATATTTATATTATACCTATTATTTACAGCTCTACTTATAGTGTTAAACTATTACAATTTTTAAAGTAGTTGTGTCTTTTAAATAAGGAAAAACAGAGACTCTTATTATTTACCCATGCATATCACTTTTGGTATTCTATACTAGTTTCTGGAGTCCTGAGTTTCAATCTGTTATCATTTTCCTTAATTTGAATAATGTTCTATAGTAGTTCTTGAATTTGAATAATGTTCTATAGTAGTTCTTGAAATCTGCTGGCAATAAATTCATGCAGTTTCTACTTCTCTGAAAATATCTTCATTTTACCCTTATCTTGAAGCTTATTTTCATTGGACACAGGTTTCTTTTGTCTTCTAGCCTCCTTTGTTTTTGATAAGAAATTAGCCATCATTCATATTGCTGGTAGTATGTCCTTTATCTTTTTTCACTGGCTGCTTTAACAATAGTCAGTTTATCTTTGGTTTTCAGAAGTTAGACTATGATATCCCTAGGTATGATTTTCTTTGTGATTATTCTGACTGGGATTTTCTCAGCTCATTGGGTCTGCTTGTTTGTTTTTCTTCCCCCAAGTTTGGGGACTATTTGGCTGCTTTTTTTCTTTTTCAATTTTTTCCCACCTTTTTTTATCTCTTCCTTACTCTGAGACTTCCATTCCACACACATGCACATACACTCTCTGAAGTGAACTCAATATTGTATTGTCTTCATAATAAAACAAAAGATGAAGTTTAGAACTGGATCATTTGGCTTTTTCTCTCATCTCTCCCTAATTTAAAATTCTTGCATTTCTTAATAGTCAGCATTCTCTTAGATCTGCATTTGGGCTCAACACATTTAAGCCTCATCACAATCTTCTTTGTAGTTTTACAGAGACTTTTCCAGAAAATCTGCTTGGTCTGCCCACCATAGCCTGCTCTGCTTCCTGTCAGAATGAAGCTAGGCATACCAAATTCCTTGATCTCCTTGTATTGTGTGTCTTCACGGTGTTGATGCTTGTCACATTTCTTTTAGGAATGTTCTCATGTTTTCTCAAGTACTACAGCCTGGGAGCTGTTGCATACATTTTAGAACACTTATTATTATCCCATAAGCCTCTGAGCTTCTGATTTATTTTCAGTCTTTATTCTCTCTGTTCTCCAGATTGGATAATTTCTACTAAGATCCAATCTACCTTCAGATACTAATCTACAGAAGATAATCTCTCTCTACATTCACTGATCTTTTTTTCCCCTTGTCTCCAGTACTCTTGTAACGCCTTTTCAAATAAATTTTCATGATATTTTACTCTTTGGCTGTGGAATTTTCATTTTTTTCTTTTGTTTAGCTTTCATTTTTCTGCCTAGTTTCCCTGCCTTCTTTATTCATTATGACATATTTGTCTTTACTTTTTGAAACATCGATTTAATATACCTTTTGAGTCCTTGTTTGCAAATTCCAACATCTTGAACATTTCAAGTTCAGTACCTATTGACTGCTTTTTCTCTTGACTGTGGATTACATGTTCTTTTGTGAGTTTACTAGTTTATTCTATACTACATGTTCTAAAGGAAACATGGTAGAGACTGTGATTCAGTTTTCTTCTAAAGGATGTTTGTTTTTTTTCTGATAGGCAGTCCACCTAAACACCAATTGTCTCTCTTGAAGTGGATGAAATCTGAGATCTCTGCTCAGTTCCTCCAGCCTCACAGATAATGTTTTACAGTCTGAAACTTGGAGTCCCCTGAATTTGTATTTACAGTTTAGCCAAGGATTTGACAGGTATTCAGATGTAGATTTAGGGGCTTCCTCCTTTTCTAAATTTTCCCCTTCACTTTCTAGCTATTTTGGCAGCTCTAAACTCTATGGCCTTACTTCCATTCCTATGCCTTTGACTTTCTTCCTGAATTCTTTCCATTCATTTTCCTGCAGATTGGGTAATGTCCACAGGTGCAAAGCTTACTACACCTGAATCTTATCCAGGGCAGTGCCCTTCCTTCAAAGGCCAACTTTCAATTTCATCTTGCTTTCAATGTTTCTTCAGGCCTTCAAAAAAACAGTTGTTTTTGTTGTATTTTCTGTTTTGTCTAGTGTTTATAAATCTTGTCTGTGAATGAATAAATTTGATAAAAGCTTCACTGCCATTACAGGAAGTAGATCATGGAAAAGTAGATTTTTCTAAGTGGAAAGATCAATGCTGTTAAGTCCAGATACAATATGAACCACATACGTAACTTGAAATTTACTAGTAGCCACATTAAAAAACAGTGAAAATACATAGAAAAAAATACGTTCTATTTAATTGAACATACCCAAATGTTACTGTTTCAACAAGTAATCATCGTAACATGAAGATATTTTCCATTGTTCTTAATATTTAATCTTTGAAATTTTGTGTATACATTTCACTTTTGGCAAAGCTCAATTCAGACACTAAATTTTTAATAGTTAAAGAGAAATGTACAATAATGTAGTTATGTTTAATTGAAAAATATTTTATATTGCTTCAGTTTTAAAACTTAAAATTGACTCAGTTAAAATATAAAAACTTAATTCCTCAGTTTTGGTAGCCACTTGTGAAGTAACCAGTAGCCATATGTGACTAATGGCTACCATACTGAGCAGGACAGGTCTAGATAATAAGAAAGGATTTCTATATTTTCACCCAGTGACATGATCTTAATATAAAGTGCAAGTATAATTTTATACAAATTAAAAGTAATTTATATATAAACACTTCCATTTGGAAAAAGAAAACTGTTTTTCAATATTTGCAAAGATGTGAAAAAGAATCCTAAACTTGCAAAAAAGATTTTTCTAATAGCAAAGCCAAATTGGTTTTCATAATTATACATCATTATGTGCAGAATTTGTCAACAAATTACTGTTTTTAATGGAACACATTGTTCATTCTTCTATGCACTTGTCCTTTTGGGATTCATATTTAATAACATCCTGGCTATAAAAGCTCACTAGTTTGCAAGTGTCCCTTTTTGTTGACTAATTATAATGATGATGTTGATTATTGAAAAAGTGGTCTTTTGGTATTATAGTCATAATTGTCTTGATAGAAGTGTGTCTCAATTGGCTTATGTAAAATTCCAGCTCTGTGAAATAGCACAATTCTCATAAATGATGATTGACTGGGTAGAAAATGTATCTATAAACTTAGAGCTTCCTTAGCACTCAATTTGGGATGGTAGTGCAGTGAGAGCCTATGTTATAATTCTAATGAGACTTCAAGTTACTTATAAGTTTTACTACCGTATCTGATTGACACTACTTGTGCTAAATTCCATCAGTGTCTAAACAAATGAAGAATATACATAACACTCAAAAATCAAAATCTAAAAATTACAGGATCATAAGGCAGGAAGCTTTGAATATGACAAAGCATAGTGATATCAATTTGCACCATATAGTGGGGCCCAAGTGCCATGCATATATAGTACATATGGTAAATGACATAAAGGCAGATGTAGAGGAAAAATGGATCTAAGAACAGTAATACTGTCTCTCTTCTTGATCTACTGGACCAAACAGGTATCAGGTAATTAAAGAAGAGAGAAATTTTCATTGTTCAGGGCAACTCAGTAGACCTTTGGGGCATGTGGTGTCAGATATTTCAAAGTTTCTTGAGCACTTACTATGTATCATGTAAGGGCGACATTCTTGGAATACTATCGTAGTTCCTACCCTCAAATAGATAAGAATCCAGTGGGCAAATTGCCAGGCAAAGTACTAAGAGTTTTACATTCATGACCTTATTTAATTCACTTAAAGACAAACAAAAATAAGATGGCCATTCTTCAGGGAAGAAAGTTGAGGCCTGAAATATTACTTCTTTAGGGTTACCTAAAATGCGTGTAGCAGGACTTGGATTTAAACACAGGTTTGACTCACTCCAGATGCCACACCATAGTCTTAGCCATCATTCATAGTACCTAAGAGAGGTCATCTCTGAACTGGCATTTCTTGGTTCTATATGAACAACCCCTGCCTACACACCAGGATATAATTCTTAGGAAATTTAAAAGCCTGGATATCCGTATTTTTGGCTCTGTTGCTCTAATGAGAAGAGAGATTATTTCTATCTGTTCACAAAACTTATTTCTGTCAGATGGCAATGTTGTACATTCTAGGTTCACAAGGATATTGTCCTAGATCTTATACCCTGGGGCTTCAGTAGCTTTTGAACTCGAAGGTGTGATCCAGGCTTTCAAGAGTGGGTTATCCTACTCCTTTGAATTTAAACAATAGGATCTGAACCTGGAAGCGTCCCTACATGATCTTTCCCAACCCTATTGTATTTCAGGCTTGGATAACAATTCTAAAGAGGTAGAAACTTGTTCAAGATCCGGGAGTCAGTGTCAGCCATTAGACTCAAACTTGCCTCTCAACTCCCAGGTCTTAGTATTTCCTCTGTATCAGACACCTTTTGTCTTTCAGAACCCCTTGCATACTCCAAAGTTTGGACCAAATATTGTTGTAGGACTTTCTCCTTAGTTCAGCTAAAGGCTGGGTTCTTGTCACACAGCCATGAAAGATTAGGCTTGCAGACACTTGGAAGGGTGAGAAGGGCAGCGTTTATTGGATGAAAAGGTATAAAAGAAAACAGGGACTCTCAGCAAAGCAAGTCCTGCTAGTAGGCTTCCTGCCTCACAGTTTGAATTCCAGGTTACCACCCTGGAACAGGAGAGGCCAGGCTCCTATCGCCTGCAAAGGGCGCGAATTTCCATGGCTCCACTGCGTTCTCCCAGTGTGCAGGCTGATCGGAGTTTCTCCGGGCACCCCTTTATACTTGGCTGTCTCAATACAAGTATAAATAGGAAAACAGGCATGGAAGAACTTCTGGGAGTATCCAGAAGTTATAATTCTCTCATCCAACAAGGAGGCTGAAATGTTCTGAGTATTCCTATGGGTGTGGAATGGTAGGTGGAGAGTGACTAAAGGGCCACTCAATTTAATTATTCTTGAAAAAATAAATCTCTCCCACAATGGGAGGAACAATTTGCTTACTTTGTTAGCTAGATGTTTTCATTATGCATCATGGTTATAAATCACTGAAAGGGAAATTTATATTTCAGAATCACAGACTCTTAGGACCGTTTATCGTGCCATTCTTTCCTCTTTCCCTAGCTAATGATTAAACCCCACTTAAATATCCCCACCAAATAGCATCATCTAGCATCTCCTTTGGAAGTTTTTCATATGCATCTTATCTTTTGTTATTTATAACTCTATCACATAAATATTAAAATTAACCCCATTTTACAAATGAAGACTTGGCTGATACATGTTATTAAACAACAATTGATAACTGGACACAGAAAGAATTAGGACTTGTTCTGTCTGAGTCATGACCTTTGCTCCACCCTCTCTCACATAAAATTTTGCTTGCATACTTCCAGTGTTAGGGAACTCATTATTACCTTCCAGGGACAGGAAACTCATTACTACCCGGGACATTCCTGAATATCTGTGGGTTGTTGCGATTATGAGAAAGCTCTTCCTTTAAAGGGACTGAAATTTGTTTCTATTGGGCTTCTGAAAATTAATCTCACTTTATTTCCTTGTTCTATATGAGCATAAGTGTAATTCTTTTCACACACAATGATCCTTAAAGAATATTAAGAGAATTCCTCTGGTGTCCTTTTTTTTTTTTTTCCTTCCTCAAGTTATATACATATTCTCATTTCTTTCAGATGGTTCCCTTCCCCACCCAGCCCCACCCTGGAACATAATTTCTAGTTATCTTGCCTTTGGGTCCCTCTGAACTCCTTTCACTTTAAATGAGCCTTAGAGTAAGGCTTCTTTTTTGACTGATGTCTGAGATTGGGTGAAATGTATTAAGAGGAAAAAGAAATTATTCAGTATGGTAGCTTAGATAATATAAAATATCTTCTGTTGCACACACAAGTTCAGAGGTGAGTGGTCTGAGGCTAGTAGCATTGCTCTGTGATCTTTAATCCTTAGCACGAGACTTCCAGGGTTGCTATGATCTTCATTTGTCAGCCAGCCGTCAGAGCATCAGTGGAAAGCAGCTCCATCTTTACATCTTTAAGAATAGCAAGACTCCGTCTCAAAAAAAAAAAAAAAAAAAAAAGAGAATGTAACTGGAAGTTTTGCATATCACTTCCTTCCAAATTTGTTCAGGTGCCTGGGATGGAAAATGCCACCTTTACCTGGGCAGCCATCCATGTTCCTGGAGAAAACTCAAGAGAGTGGGCCAGCCATGATGGCTCATTCCTATGATTCCAGCACTTTGGGAGGACCACTTGCTCCCAGGAGTTTCAGGCTGTAGTGAGCTATGATTGTACCACTGCATTCCAGTGTGGGTGACAGAGCAAGACCCTGTCTCTATTTAAAAACCAAAAATGAATAAAAAAAAAAAAACCTCAGGAGATTCTATACTGAAAAGACAAAAGGAAACATGGATACTAGAGGATAGTTGCGGATTCTGCCACATAGAGTAAGGTGTAAATAAAAAGCAAAAGTCAAGAAAATATTGACCAGGGCCTGGAAACAGAAACCAGGAAGTTTCAGTTCTTTGTTTTATCTGACCTCTAGCACATGACTTACAATTTTGCCTTCAATTCTAAAAACAATATTAATTGCATACACTTTTTTTTCTATTTCACAAAGATATTGTGATTCCTTTTTATTTTTTTATTTTATTTATTTTATTTTATTTTTTTGAGATGGAGTCTCGCTCTGTCACCCAGGCTGGAGTGCTGTGGCGCGATCTCGGCTCACTGCAACCTCCACCTCCTGGGTTCCCGCCATTCTCCTGCCTCAGCCTCCCAAATAGCTGGGACTACAGGCGCCCACCACCACGCCCGGCTAATTTTATGTATTTTTAGTAGAGACGGAGTTTCACTGTGTTAGCCAGGATGGTCTTAATCTCCTGACCTCGTGATCCACCCACCTTGGCCTCCCAAAGTGCTGGGATTACAGGCGTGAGCCACCACGCCCGGCCTGTGATTCATTTATAACAGTGATTTTACTCCCTGTACTGAATGGCTGTATTATGTAGTTATGGCTGGTGTGATTATTCCTGAAGTGATCTGTTTGGAATGGGCACATTATTAGGACTTGGAGAGGTAGAATTATAGGATAGAAGATTCTCAAATTCAAGAAATGGTGATAAGATTATTCAGAAAAATGTTACTATACATTAAAGCTCTTCAGCTATTTTTTGGTCCTCAAGGTTTAATGAATCTTTGGGGGAAAAAACAGTTTGGGGTTAACTTTTTTATGTTAAGCAGAAATTTGATATAATTATTTTCCTTATTGAGTCTTCTTTGGACAGAGAAAGTGGTTCTGGTAATTCTACCGTGATTTCATTGATATGATAATTAGTTGTACTGAGGATGAATCTGTAGCATTTAAAAGTTGTACAATAAATAAAATGTAAGCTCTGCTGAGCCCTGGGCATTTTTGTTAAGGCTTTATGCAGCAAGTTCTACTTAGAGAACAAAGCATATGCCTTGAGGGTGAGAAAAAGTGGCTTTCATAGGAAGAATTTGGGATCAAAAGGCACTTACCTATCCCTACCTCTATGGTCTAGAATTAGATACACGAACCCATGAATAGGTCCCAGACTGCCCGGGAGCCATGTCTGGTTCCACATATTATTGTTTCTTTACTTCTACTAGGTAAATATACTCTTCTCACCATACTTCCTGATCAGTTGTGACTCTGGTGAGGTGATCTATAAAAGACTACTGTCTTAGGAGGTTTCAATCCTTGTGTCAGGCCCCATTGCCATAGTAGCAGAGACTGTAGGGCCCGTAGCAGAGACTGCCAGCATCTCTGCTCTCCCATCTTCCTTTCTAATAGGCTGTTAATGGGTAGCATCTATGTGGCTAGCTGAAAGCTTACCTTTCCCAGTTTCTCTTACTGATGGGGGCTGCGGCCACTAGATGTGAACAAAGCCATCAAATAGGGTGTCCATGAAAGCTTCTAAGCAAGACTAAGCATGATGAGGTGCACACTTCGGCTGCTATCTCACCCTGACTTTCTGTTAGGTGGAATGTGGGTGTGATGGCAGCAGCCATGAAGTAAGGTTGAAGGGAAGAAAGAGGAGCCTGGGTCTCTGACTTGGGGGCTGCTCTAATATCACACTGAAACTGCCTAGTCCCTGAATTCTTCTTTGGGGGCCCCAAAGACCTATGTCTTATTTAAACCATGTGTCTTAGGGCAAGTCTCATAGAAACAGAGCCTCAGACCAGGATTCAGGTGTAAACTTACAAAAGAGAGTGAAGCACCAAGGGGAAGTAGGGGAGAAGAATGTGGCCCCACATGAAGCCTAATCTTGACCTGATCTGTGAGGATGTGGGGAATTCCAGAGCATAAACTGCCCAGGGAGTTGTCCTGCAGAGTCCTCACACTTTGAGGCAAAGGGGTGAGCCCTTCGTACTACATATGAGTCAGCCATTGGCTGTGGGCTACCTCCAGAAGGTGTTGCATGCAAAACTTTCTGGGGGAGGCCACTCTTGTCAGCTGGGACAGTTCTCCAGAGGAGAGGCACAGAGTGAGCAATCAGCCAGCGCCTCACAGAGGCTGGGGTCTGGGTATGCCAGCCCAGGGCACACCCAGGCCGGGCTGGATAGGGTGTTGTGGTGCCTTCTGTAGTCCTCCCTACACATTGCTCAGAACCACTTGCTTCTCATATGACATTCATTTTATCCAGTTATGGCCTCTCCAGGATTCTGGGTTCAAGAGTCCTGGGGATTTTTTTATTTTTTATTTTTTATTTTTTTGAGATGGAGTCTCACTCTGTCACCCAGGCTGGAGTGCAGTGGTATGATCTCGGCTGACTGCAACCTCTGCCTCCCGGGTTCAAGTGATTCTTCTGCCTCAGCCTCCCAGGTAGCTGGGATTACAGGCGCCCACCACCATGCCTGGCTAATTTTTATATTTTTAGTAGAGACGAGGTTTCACCATGTTGGCCAGGCTGGTCTCAAACTCCTGGCCTCAAGTGATCTTCCCGCCTCGGCCTCCCAAAGTGCTGGGATTACAGGCGTGAGTCACCACACCCAGCCGAGTCCTGGGAAATTTTTAAGAGAAGGATTAGTGGGATGAACTACAGCACCTGCTGCAGTAGTTAGTCCTGAGCTGAAACATACTCAACTCCTTTCTCTGCCCCCGATCCTAGACTCCTTTCCCTCTCCGCTAGCACTTCTCAGGTATAGGTGGCTTGCCTTAGGCTGATCCTCATCTCTAATATGTCTGAAGAGCTGGTTATCATGCCTTTATCAGGCTGTGCTTGATCAACTTTCCCATTTAGAGTAAGAGTTAGGCACAGGAGTATCAAGAGATGCTCCAGTATTAGGAGAAGCTCTTCTAATGAGCAGGGGAAATAATTTATTAACCACACACCACAGACCCAAGGCTGTGCTCACCTGTTTCAGTAAAGGTATCACATTCAGCACAGAAGACCCAGTGGAGACTTCTGCTTGGGAAATTTATTGTTTAACCCACTATTGTTTTGCCAGGGTCCATTTTTTTTTTTTTTTTGGCAGGGATGAGACTGATTAATTATGTAAGATTATGAGGGAGACTATCATTCCTACATCCTTTATGTCTTTTTTGGGTTAGGGGGAGACAGGGTCTTACTCTGTCACCGAGGCTGGAGTGCAGTGGCATAATCACAGCTCACTGCAGCCTCGATCTCCCAGGTTCTAGCAATTCTCCTACCTCAGCCTCCTGAGTAACTGGGACTACAGGCATGCGCCACCAAGCCTGGTTAAATTTTTAAATTTTTGTAGCGATGAGGTCTCTATGTTGCCCAGGCTGGTCTCAAACTCCTGGGATCAAGCAATCCTCCCATCTTGGCCCCCAATAGTGCCAAGATTATACCTTTATGTCTTTGAGAATGATGTTAATCTGTCATGCCACCTGTGTGCAATGCTGTTTTTGATTTATCATCTTAGCTAGACATGGGAGTAGTTTTTGTGGCTATAGCCTAATCTTTCCTATTATGATAGTTCTTATCCTACAGGTTAAGAAAGAAATGTGAAGGTTCTGCCAACTGCTAATTGTGTCCTTTCTAATAAAACACTTGGGATCTAGGGACATGACCACCAGTTGGTCTGTAGATCCAGGGTCTTGGATCTACAGACCAACTGGTGGTCATGGGAGAGACTTAAGAAACCTGAGCTAGAAATCCATTTATTATTTACTTAATCCCTGAGTCTCATAGGTAGGACATAATACTGCTTCACTTCTTTGGATATCAGTAATTAATATCAGTATTAATTAACCCAGACCCTGTATCCAGCAGCCCTCAAATGAATTGAATAGTCCCTTTACCCCAGTGTTTTGTCACCCAAGAAAATGGTGATAGGTATTTCTGGGGAAGAGCTGGTTGAAATCACTGCTATATATACTTCTCGTGATGTTGCAGTGTCTTTTCCTCATAGGAGACTTGCCTACTTCTTCAGTCAATGGGTTCTGGGTGTGAGAATGCTCAGGCCTGGAAACTGGACAGGGATCATAATTATCCATTGAGGTGACCAATTACATTGCCCCTAGGAACATCACGTTTTACAAGCCAACGCCATAGAATCCTGCAGGCCAGAGTATGGCTCACCCCTGTAGCTGCCATTCTAACCTTGCCGCTGATTATGGTAATTACGTCTACTGTTTTTGATGTTGAAGTGCTGCCACCTGGCGTCAGTATGTAATCTATCTCCCATTGCTATTAGAAAACCCAGTTTTGCAATAGCGTTTCCTATTGTCAGTGTAAGCCTCAGATGCCACCACTGATGAACTATGAATGATGCTGGTCCCCTCCCCTCCAAACACAAGCAAGTGAGTGATTGTGAGAATAATACTGGCCGTTGCTTTCATTGGAGCAGTGCTGTGAGTACTGCATTTCTTAATTCTTTAGTAAAATGAAACGTCCTCTGAGCCCTTCTGAGGAACTTAATCAGCCAGTAGGTTTTCTAATATGTAGTAGAAACATTCTAGTATACCCACTTCTCTGTGCCTGTTGATTCTATTCTCCACAGTTTGCCAAGGCAATTCTGCTATCTCTATTTTTAAGGTTGGCTATGTCTTTTTCCAAGTTTTCAAATATCACCTTGGCAAAATATTAGAACCTTCTCCCAGAGTCTTTTCAGTGTGTTAAATCTTGCCTGAGAATACTGTCCCATACCAACAAATCCTCTTACCTAACTTTATAATCCATTCCTCTCCACCTTTATCTAACACAAAGATTCTCTAGGTTCCAGAACGTGTAAACCACATTTATGGTTCCACTGGCTGAGACTCCATCTTCTCTTTTAGCATATCCGTAACTTTTCCAGTTGGGTCATGATGAGATGTTACATGAGTTATTGATCTGGTGCCTAGAAAGGAGGTTAGGATAGATCCTGAGAAAAGCCAGCATTGCATTTTAAGGGACCTACTGCACTTAGGGTTTCTTCACAGCCATCAAGTAAGGGAAAATGGGCCACTTGTGTAATCCCAAAGGATTCAGGATTATCTTGGCATTCTTGTTGTTCAACGTATCTAAGAACACATATGCAAATAACCTCATCCCAAGTAGGAGACATCTTTTCTTATCAGGGGCCTCACTTTGGCATAAAAGACGTGTCTAAAATAAGAATTCGGTCTTCTCTGAAGTTCTGCCTCTTCTAAAATTAATCCCTGTGCCTAATTTTTAGCTGTCTACCCTCTAGCTGCAGGAGATGAGGGTCATTTTTTAAATGTTACTGAGCCATATTTTACATATCATATAATTTGCCTATTTTAATTCACACACCATATACACCATTCACACAATTCAATAATTTCTTTTTTAGTGAATTTACCAGGTGCTAAATTTATATCATCATAAACCTTTTTTCGAGCATTTCCATCACTTCAATAGGATCATACATGTCCATTAACTTTTAGCAAGAAGTTAGGAGGATCTTCTCAAACTCTGTTGAGCCAGCTATAGCTTACCGCTGAGCACATTCAGAGAGCTAATGTACTTCCACTTGAATATGATTCCAGACCAGATGGAGTAAATGGAACAGCCAGGGGCTCTATGACTGACCAGTATTAGGGTACCTTCTTGAGCAAAACACCAGCAAGTGGGTGATTGTGAGAATAATACAGGCCATTGCTTTCACTAGACCAGTGCTATTAGCGGTGGTCCACAAACACAGAGATGCTCAGCTACTGGCTCCTAAACCTGAAGGAGCATCAGACTCAGCAGAGAAATGTATCAGAAATATGTGTGCTTAAGTTCTGCTGCCAGAGATTTTGATTTACTAGGTTAAGGGGTACAGAGATTTATATCCTCAGCAGAATCCCATGGTGATTCACATGACCCATCAGATTTGGGAGTTGTTATTCTGGGTTGTGTATGTTTGCTTTTTTGTAATATCCATATATTTTTTTCTAGGAAGCATAGTTGTGTTAATAGTATTGAGTCAGAAACGGTTGGATATAATAATTTTTTATTCATGGTTTCTGGACAGAAAACAAAACTCAGTTATTGGTTACTTCATACTCTTGTGCAGAGAGGAGATGTATATCTATTTTCTGAAATAGAAAAGTATTAGCTTTGCCCTCAAGGAGCTAGATCTGTAATGCTTCAGTTTGTTGAATTAATGACTATAAATATAAGGCAGGCAAGAATGACTTGCGAAGATGCTCTGACCCAAAGGTAAGGAAGCTGAAGTTCACGCATATTAGAAGCATAGAATAGGATCTGAAATTTCCTGGAAAGTTGTCACCTCCATTGATAATCCACTAATGAGCCCAGGTCATTTTTTTATGGTTCTGTCCAGCTTCAGGATCTCACAACTCTGATTAAGCAATGCAGTTGCTTAGAATGGAGGGGAATATTTGATCATAACACTGGTCAAGCATGAACATCCTCACACTGGCCAACTGGAAATGTGTGAATGCTCACTAAAGAAAAGCCTTTAACTCTTTAACTCTTTCTAACCCCACATCAGATTTCTCAGCAGATCCTCACATCTCTTTCTTGGAAATATACCCAGAACTGGGCCATATTTTCACCTTTTCTCCTGCAAACACTTTGATCAGTGTCTCCATTACCTTTTTCTGGAATGATCACAATAACCTTCTAACTGGACTCCCTTCATCCCTGGCATCCCCCTAAAGACATACACACATACATACACACATACATACATACACACACAAACACACAGAGACCCACACACAGACATACACACACATAATTGTTATTAGGGCAGACAAACTGATTTTATGAAAATACAGTCTCTATTTGAAATCTTCCAATAGCTCTGCACCTCACTCAGAATAAAAGTCAATGTCATTATCATGATCACAGGCCCCCAATTACTTCAACAAGCTCATATCCTGTTACTGTTTCTCATGCTCATTCTGCTGTAGTCAGAACAATGGCAAGCTGTCTGTTTATTGAACATACTAGGTGAGTTCCTATCTCAAGGCGTTTGTACTGTGGTTTCCTCTGTCTGGAATGTTCTTTACCAGATATCTGCATGGGTCACTTCTTCAGTTCTTTTATTCTGCCATCACCATCTCACTGAAGTCTTCCTTGTCCATCTTATCTAAAATTTTAATTCTAAGATTTAACCTAAGAATACTTTTTATTCCCTTTTTGTGTTCTATTTTTTATTCTTTTTGAGACAGTGTCGCTCTGTCGCCCAGGCTGGAGTGCAGTGGCATGATCTTGGCTCACTGCAAGCTCCGCCTCCTGGGTTCACGCCATTCTCCTGCCTTAGCCTCCCGTTTTTGTGCTCTATTTTACACCTTCAGTACCTAACATTATTTATTCTAGTATATATTTTACTTATGTATCTTATTTACTGTCTATCTCATCAACTAGACTAATGAAAGCTCTATCAGGACAGAACAGTGCCCAGTTCCAGGTGCTCAGGAATTACTGGAATTGAAAATTATCTGTTATATGATTATCACCTCACCATTTAACCTTAGAATTTCTTAGTTTGTGTTGTGAGTGTGATAAAATAGGAGTTTCTTTCCAAGAACTCAAAAAAGTAGAATGGATCACTGAAAGCTTGGGAAGATTGGATTTTGTAATCAAGCCTGTTCATGTCATAAACCTCTGACTTCAGCAATCAGGGTGCAAATGCTGTAATAAACTCTAATATCATTTTAGTCCAGTCTTATATTTAAAAAAAAAAATGAGGCTCAGAGCAAAGAAGTCACTTGCTAAAGATCACCTAAAGTGAGTGGCATTTGCTGATGTAGAACTTGATCTCCTCAATTGCAGTGAGGTGCTCTGTCAACTAAGCCTTTCTTAGTCTTTTGTTTATAAGCTAATATTTTTGGTCACTTTTGAAATGAGATATTACTAAAATAACCAACAACTGTTATTCTTCAGAAGAAAAGTATTTTGAACTTTACCAAAACCCCACTTAGCCTTTCTTACATAACTGTTTTATACACCTTAGGTTCGTGCAAAAGTAATTGCTGTTGCAGACCGTGAATTTAAAATCATTATAACCAGGTTCAAACACGTCTTTATTAACAAAAATAGGAACCATTACAATCGATATATTTTTGCCAATGAGAAACATTTATTTATTCCTGTAGCATAAAAATCCATGCTTTGGGATTCAAGGAACTCTCAGAATTTTCTGTATGCTGCTGGTTGTGGAAGCATTTTCCCTGCAAAAAGTTGCTGAGATGCTTGAAGAAGTGATAGTTTGTTGGTGAGAAGTCAGGTAAATATAGGAGATGAGACAAAACTTTGTAGCCCAACTCATTCACTTTTGAAGCATTGGTTGTGTGATGTGGGATCAGGCATTGTTGTGGAGAAGAACTGGGCTCTTTCTGTTGACCAATGCCAACTGCAAGTTCCCCTCTGTCACCAGGCTGGAATGCAGTGGCATGATCAACCCTCAAGGCAACCTAAAACTCCTGGGCTCAAATGATCCTCCCTGCCTTAGCCTCCCAAGTAGCTAGGACTATAGATGTGTGCCACCATGCCTGGCTAACTTTTCAATTTTTTGTAGAGACAAGGTCTTCTTATATTGGCCAGGCTTGTTTTAAACTGCTGGCCTCAAGCAATCTTCCTGCTTCAGCCTCCCCATGATGATTAATGAGCAGAGAACATGTCTTAGAGGATAAAAGCAGAATTAAGAAAACCAGTTAGAATATAGGAAAAAAGTGAAAGAGAAGATGGTGACTTGGAGGAAGGAAGTTACAGTAGAGATGTAGAAACCACGTCATATAGGTATCATACTTACCACTGGTTCAGCAACCAGATAACATAGAGCAGTTGAAACCATACAAACTCTTGCTGGTATGACAAAAGGTCAAAATGGCTGCTAGATTTGGTCAAGTCCATCAAAATGGGAAATGTTATGTATCTAGTTCAAAAGCAGATTTCATGAATTGCTGGTCCAAAATGTTGTTCTCTGGCCAAATAAGTGTGGAAAACAGACCCAATAGATGTCCCTTCAGAGATACACAGTACACATTAGCATATTGAAAATTCTGAGCAGTCCAGCAGTAAAAAATACTTTGAACAAAACACTCACTGGTAGTAGCCTGAGGGACATGGCTTTGAACAAACTGATATGATAGAGAACCACAATAAGACACCATCATGCTCTGCCATCACTACCTTTATTTTCTGTGATATTGGACACATAATTTTTCCTGTCAGAACCTCTGTGCTATGGTTTAAATGTGTCTCCCAAAAGTTCATGTGTTGGAAACTTAATCCCTCTGCTCTCACGAATGGGTTAATATTGCTATCACAGGAGTGGGTTTATTATTTTGTGAGTGGCTTTGTTATAAAAGCAAGTTCTCTTTGGCTCTCATGCTCTTGCCCTCACACCATGTAAGGTCTTCTGCCATGTTATGACAAGCAAGAAGGCCCCCAAAAGATGCCAGCACCATCTGGACTTGGATTCTCCAGCCTCCATGAGATAAGTACATTTCTTTGCTTTATAAATTACCCAGTCTGTAATACTTTGTTACAGCAACAGAAAACAAACTAAGACACTCAGTTTTCCCATTAATAAAATATGAGGTCAGAATAATTGTTCATTTACTTTCTTTAATCAAGTTGGTTAATGTAAAGCTGTTTTTGTGTAAATCCTGAAAGGGTACTTGCTTTGGATAAAGTTGCCAACTCTGTTTAAATGATCGTTTGGCAGTACTGCTTCAGTCCACCCTTTATCTCCCGAGTCAATCATGACTTGCTCTCTTATACTCTGTGAGCATTTTCTATCATCTTTTGAAGACAATTAATAACTAGATCAGAATGGCTGCTGACCTAAGGTCTGACTCTCCCTAGAGAAGAATTATAAAACTGTGAAGTTGGGTCAGAGATCGATTTGATTTAGAATAGAGCTGATACACTTAGATGTTACTAGGCAACTGCACAGGGTGGGATGGAAGATATATTGATACTCAGACTGTGCCTTGTAATCCCATTTGCTTCAAATCTCAAGGGATACATTTCTTAGCCAAAAACATTGAGTATTGAAAAACATTCCTTTGTTGTTCAAAGATTTTGCCGTACTCGAAAACAATAAACATGCGAGCCATGTTTCTCTATGTGAATGTCATATTAGCTTTACTTACCATAAAATCCATCCTTTCTTTCTCCCTTCATTTTTCATCTTTAAAAGAGGCCATCAGTTTATTTCTCAGGGCCTTGAACATTTCCAAGCTATACCTTTGGAAACCACCAGCAAGCCTGAGGAATAGGCAGAACAAAGGAAGAACAGCAGGAGGCTTGTAGAGGGGTTAAAAGGCCATGGATGAATGACAGTAGGACAGAGGATAAGAATGAGAAACGTAAGAGGAACAATAAATGAAGAAGCAAACTCAATTTGGAGATGGAAAGAGTAAGCATTTTTCAGATTGATGTTAATGATTTCAGTTTGAAGAGACATAAGGGGTACTAAACCAAGCCCACTGGGGTCCGATCCCTTTTTTTGTTACCTAATATGGTAACAATAGAAGAAAAGATACTGCTGGGCATGACAGCTCACTCCTGTAATCCCAGCACTTTGGGAGCCTGAGGCAGGCTGATTGCTTGAGGCCAGGAGTTCGAGACCTGCCTGGCCAACGTGGCAAAACCCCATCACTACTACAAATATAAAAATTAGCCAGGCGTGGTGGTGCACGCCGATAATCCTAGTTACTCTGGAGGCTGAGGCATGAAAATCCCTTGAACCCGGGAGGCAAAGATTGCAGGGAGCTGTGACTGTGCCACTGTACTCCAGCCTGGGTGATACAGCGAGACTCTGTTTAAAAAAAAAAAAAAAGAAAAAGAAGAAAAGATACTAAACAATCTATATTCTTACAAAAGAATTTTCTAAGTTCAATGTCAAATTTGGTAGCTCAGTGTCTGGGCTTCTCTTCGGATCCCAGTTATCAGTTTGGGAAAGAAAGTGGGTATGGCATGAGAAGCATGGAGAGGAAAAGGGTTACACTGGAGAGGAGAAAATCCACCAGGCATAGAAGAAATGAATATATTGGGAATGCAAGGACAGGAGACAGAAAATAAAGAGACATGAGGGAGTTCAATTTTAGCAGGAGTTTTAGGGAGGTTGCAAGTAATGGGGCAGAAAAGAGGCTTTGGAGAATGTGTGAGATTAAAAAAAAAACATATGGTAAGTGTAAAGACAGAAAGAAGATTTTAAGGAATATTTTTGTGGACTGAATTGAAGCTCCTTGTATAACTTTTTTGAGGAACCCCAGTAAGGATTGCAGTCACTTGTAATTGCTTCTGATCGCTCATTCCTGAATATGACATAGAACGAAGCCTAGAGGGTGTGCCACCACAATTTATATTAAGATCACACAAAGGGTAGAAAGGAGTGGAAAAGATAAGAGGAGTGAATGGGAAGAGTACATAGATAAAGGTAAGTGCACAGCAAAGGAACTGTAACATGTTTTCTATCTTCATAAAATACTTAAAATTCTAAACAAGAGAATTTGTGTTAGATCTAACTGCACTTTCTGGTTGTAAAAGTTGTACTATGAAAGCTGTTTGATATTCACCTAATTTGGCAAATCTTGTTTTTTGCCTTGTTAAGGAAATGTTGACTCTGGCCTACTTTGAGAAGAACACATCTCTCTGAGAAAAGAATAAATTGAACACATTTCCTGATCTTAGTATTTGTGATTCAGTGATCCTGTACCTTTGAAACAAATTTTAGTATAGTAAATACCGATTGTCCACTCTCATCCCAGTATACCATTTTCACTGGCTTTGGCCTCCTGAGATTTATTTTTCATCAATGTTCTTGATATTGCTTTCTGTCTTACTTCCTAAGCTGCGTTCAAAGAGGCTGGGTATAATGAAATCACCATCCTATTTCTATTCATGTTAAATGTCATCCAGGGCCATTCAGTGACAGCTATAACCATGCCAGAACTCTGTGTTTGGTCGAAGTACCAGTTACTTGACCAGGCATTGTGGGTTTTTGTTTGTTTTTAGATTTTTTTTTTTTTTTTTTTTTTTTTTTTTTTGAGATGGAGTCTTGCTCTGTTGCCTAGGCTGGAGTACAGTAGCCTGATCTGGGCTCACTGCAACTTCCGCCCCCAGGTTCAAGCGATTCTCCTGCCTCAGCCTCCATAGTAGCTGGGATTACAGGTGCCCACCATCACGCCCAGCTAATTTTTGTATTTTTAGTACAGACAGGGTTTCACCATGTTGGCCAGGCTGGTCTTGAATTCCTGACCTCAAGTGATCTGCCTGCCTCGGCCTCCCAAAGTGCTGGGATTGCAGGCATGAGCCACCACATCCAGCCAATGACCAAATACTGTTTTAAGAAAAGTGTCAGCATACAGAATTGTTTAGCAAGTGTGTTTCATAGGACACTGAGCCTTCAGGATACTTTTTGGCAAAAGTGTTTCTTAGTCAAACAGTTTGATGTGCACTGTGCATAGTGCTGGTATAAGATAATAGCTGTGGGGCTAAAAGTGAAGGGACTAGATTTCTGGTACTAAGCATGCTCTTAATACTGTTACCTTGTCAAGCAGCTGAAACTCTGAGACTGTAAAATAGAGGTCACACTTTGTCCTCTTCCCATCATAGGGTTACAGCCTGTAGTTTGGTTGTATTCTTTAAAGTCCTGTCTCTATGGTCAGTGAGCGTATATTAGAATTCCCACCCTGCTATCTAAAGCTACGTGACTAGGTCAAGTTACTAAACTTATTCAAGCCTCATTTATTCTTAGGTGTATATAATATTTATCTTGTAGAGTTGTTAGGCTTGAATTAAATAGTTGATATAAAAGAATTATTGTAGCACTACTTAAATAGTTATTAGGCCAATCATCATTAATGGCAACAATATAATCAACAGCAAGCCTGAAATATTATGTTAAGAAACGTTAGTAATAGTAGCTGTACCAGCAGCAGTAGTAACTGTTGATTGAACACTTACTTTCAAACACTGTTCTCAGAGCTTTACTTATTTACTCCTCACACAACCCCTGTAAGTTATCTTATCCCCATTTTACTGAGAAGAATGCTGTGGTTCAAAGAGCTTAAACTTGTTCAAGGTCTCACTGTCAGTGGCAGACTAAAATATGCTCCCTTTCTTTTAGGCGCTAGAGGCTTTTAACCTAACTTCTCTTCCCAAGTTAAGTGAGGCCGTTTCACCTACCCCTTAGATGCTGTTAGTCTCTGTCTTCTAGCTATACGAGGACTTTAAGGGGGAAAAGCTTGTAGTTCTCTTCAGAGTTCACCAGCAAGTCATTGAGAATGGAAATCAAAGTAGTAGACAGGAGTAAGAAGTGTTAGAAGCACTTGTGTTTCCCTACTGCTTTTCTTCTTCCTCAATGGCAATTTTTATTTGAATGTTTAATTGTAATTGTGATAGTGCTGTATCTTGACTATAAAAAAATGTGTATAAGTACTGATTATTGATTTTAAAAATTGGATGACACTGAGTTCTCAGAAAGGTTATTGCATTGTGAAGTCCATAAAAGGAGGGGCTGAGACCTTCTATTGAGCATGTAGTACATATTCTGGAAATGTTGGAGAGAGGGTTTCAAACCTTATAGGTCCTAGAAAAAAAATGGGCAAGATTGCCATCTAGTGGACTCTGAATCACCTTCAGCTAAAAAAAAAAAAAAAAAGTCAGGTTTGGTTTTGTGAAAACTATCTAAAATAAGTGATATTAATGGGTGATTTATTTAAATATACAACAGAGGTCAGACCAATATTCCAGATGAATTCTGAGTCGGCAAGTATCAAAGAGAAGACCAAGGGATATCTTGGGGTTTCAGATGCACAGGATGTTGGCACTAAAGAGAACCAGAGATTAACATCTTCAACCTCCTCTCTTACAGCCCAGAAAAGGGCAGCAATGCGTTAGGGTCACACAGGTATGATGACTTATACCCAGGCCTCCCAAGTCCATGTTCAATGCTCAGACCTTTCTATCCTTGTAGCAGAGCATTCTCTCTCTCTCTCTCTTTCTTTCTCTCTCTCTCTCTCTCTTTCTCTCTCTTTCTCTCTTTCTTTCTTTCTTTCTTTCTTTCTTTCTTTCTTTCTTTCTTTCTTTCTTTCTTTCTTTCTTTCTTTCTTTCTTTCTTTCTTTCTTTCTTTCTTTCTTTCTTTCTTTCTTTCTTTCTTTCTTTCTTTCTTTCTTTCTTTCTTTCTTTCTTTCTTTCTTTCTTTCTTTCCAGTTTTTTGTTTGTTGAGACTGGCTCTGTCACCCAGGCTGGAGTGCAACAGCTGATCTCAGCTCACTGCAACCTCCGCCTCCCAGGTTCAAGCGATTCTCCTGCCTCAGCCTCCCAAGTAGCTGGGATTACAGGTGCCTGCCACCACACTTGGCTGATTTTTGTATTTTTAGTAGAGATGAGGTTTCACCACGTTGGCCAGGCTGGTCTTGAACTCCTGACCTCAGGTGATCCAACTGCCTTGGCCTCCCAAAGTACTGGGATTACAGGCATGAGCCACTGCACCTGGCCTAAGTGTTGTCTTTCATAACACTCACAAAAAAAAAAAAATGAAAAGGAATCCATTCCAAATTGTATAAATTTTCTCGAACTAGCCTCTCTAGATTCATAGTTACAAAAGGAGATGAATGTCAGTGGTAAATTTTTCCAGGTATTCAGGGAAACGTCCAGGAAGCTATTATCACACACCATGGAAGCACTACTTACCTCAGGGTATTTGACTTATCAGTATCTTACTGTAGGTTCAAAAAAATCTCTCTACCTGCTGTTTAGAGATGTGTTAAATACATATGCATGATGATTAGGTTATGGAAGTTTTATGATTTCATGGGTTTTTATCTCATTTCTATTCAGCTATTAAGTTTTGACCTTTGTTCCTATTTCCCATAAATAAAATAAATTAGAGGGGAGAGGAAATTGGAGGGGAGATGAAAAAAGTTTTACTACCTGTAACTGCCAGGTTAGATATTTAAGGATACTGGAGTAGTGTACCATTTATTTTGAGTTACGGCTCTTCTCCTTCCAGGCTGCATTATTTGGGGTCTGCTTGTCTTTACATTTCTGGAATAGAGACAGTAAAAATGTGCTATTCAGCTCAAGGTTCTTGGAAGATTTAAGACAGATGAAGCATACAGAAAGTCAAATATTGCATGTTCTCACTCATGAGTGGGAGCTAAAAAGTGTGTACACATGGATGTAGAGAGTGAAATGGTGGACAGTGGAAACTCAGAAGTGGGACAGGATGTGTTAGAGGTGGATGATGAGAAATTACTTAATGTGTACAATGAATGTCATTTGGGTCATGGATAGTCTAAAAGTCCTGACTATGCAAACTTTATTGGGTACAAAATTGTATGTGTACCCCATAAATTTATATAAATAAAAAGTAGAGATGAAGCGTAATAAAGCACTCTATAGGCATAGTCTCTCTCTTCTCTCTTGCTTCCTTTCTTTCCTTTTTCCTCCCTTCTCTCTGTTGGAAGAAATATTTTTTTTAATTCAGCTGTCCTTTTTACTGTTTAATTTCAAATCTGCAGAAAAGTTGAAAAATCATTCACTGTGTACCCAAATACACTTCTAGATTTACCAGTTGTTAACATCGGTAAATCTTAACATTGATAAATGTTATATACCTCATTTGAAAGTTGTATACCTCGTAATCTCCATTCCTAAATTCTTCTGCATGTATCTCCTAAAAATGACAGTTTTTCATACATCCATAATCCCATAAACACAACTAAGAAAATTAATAATTTCATAATGTTGTCTAATAACATTTACATTCAAATTTCTTTAATTCTCCTGAATATTTTCACATTAAATATTTTTAAATCCAAGATTCAACCACGGTTAATGTATTGCATTTGGTTGTTCAATCTCTGAGTTTTGTAATCTAGAATAGTACTCCTAAAACCAAATGTTTTATTTTTTATGATGTTGACTTTCTGAAGAGTGGGCAAATTGTCTTGTAGAATGGCCCACATTCTGGATTTATGATTTTTGCTTATAACTAGATTCAAGTTAAATATTTTTAGTTATAATACTGCAGAGGCAATATGTATACTTCTTACTGTGTCTAATGAGGAGGTATATTTCAACTATTGGTGATATAAACTTGATCGCTTGGTTAAGCTGGAGACTCCTTAATCATAAAGGTATATATACTCAGTTACACTTAGTAATTTGTGGGGTGATATTTTGAAACTGTAAACATTCTGTATGCAAATATATTTTGGCCCCAAAGTTTTACACACCTATTGATGAACAAACTTTTACTGAATCAGTTATTACCAGGGAGGTTGAAGAATGGTAATTTTCCTCTTTTTTCCTGCATTGATTATCTGGCTGTCTTTTAAAAGAGCTTTGTTTGTTGTTGTTTTACTTTTTTGGTATTACTATGGACCCAAGATTTTGAAATTTTTATTCGAAGTGTTTTATTGCCATCCTTATCTTTTTACCCAATCCCGTGTTGTCTGAAATGTGGTCAATGTGAGCCCCGATGGGCTGGTTGCTCTGCTCTTCCGGGTATTTGAGGTACTTCTTGCTTTCTGGCACAAGGTGCCCCAGACCCTTCCTGTATCATTTCTAACCTAACCTGGAATTAGCAGTAAAAGGAATGGAGCATGATATTTAGAAACTGAGATCTGAATACTAGATGAAACTCTATGCAAATATTTTTAAGACCCTGGTGTTGATGTAAAATAAGATGTAGAGAATTATCCAGCCAAATTTGTGTACTTAATGCCAAATGATCCTTCTTTCTGGTTAAATCATCATCCTTCAATTTAGTTTAACTATTTCCTCAAAAAATATCAGAAAAGTCCTAGGTCCCTAAGGATTATAATCATTTCCCCATTACACACATGCCCTTGGAGCCCTAAACTACTTCTCTATACTCATTATACTTCTAACTATTCAGAGTCAGTCTCACCTGAAAGCTCATCTTGGGAAGAATCTGCTTCCACGCTCACATGGTTGTTAGCTGCATTCAATTCTTTGCAGGCTGCTGGACCACGAACTTCAGTTTCTTGCTGGTTGTTGGCCAGAGGCCACCTTGAAGTTCCTTACCATGTGGCATTCTCCATAGGGTATCTTATAACATGGTAGCTTGCTTCTTGAAGGCCAGAAGGGAGGAGAGCTTTAACAAGAAGTACATTACAACCTTACGTAATCAAGAAAGTGACATCTTATCACCTTTACTGTATTGTACTGGTGATGAGATGTCATCACCAGCAAGTCATAAATCCAACCCACAGGCCGGGTGTGATGGCTCATGCCTATTATCCCAGCAATTTGGGAGGCCAAAGCGAGTGGATCACTTGAGGTCAGGAGTTCGAGACCAGCCTGGCCAACATGGCAAAACCCTGTCTCTACTGAAAATACAAAAATTAGACAGGCATGGTGGCGCATGCCTGCGGTCCCAGCTACTAGGGAGGAAGAAGTGAGAGAATTGCTTGAACCCGGGAGGCAGAGGTTGCAGTGAGCCGAAATTACGCCATTGCACTCCAGCCTGGGTGACACAGTGAGATTCCATCTCAAATCAATCAGTCAGTCTAACCCACATTCAAGGGGAAGGGATAACACAGGGTGAGAAGACCAGAAGGTGGGGATTATGGCAGCACCCATAAAGTCTGTCCAACACACTCATGGATTTGCCATTCTCATGTGGGGTCTCAGAGGATACACATGCAAAATACAATATCAGATGACTATAAACATGTAAAGATAATGAACAGAGTGATAAGATGAAGAGTCACTGGAGAGGGCAGCTTAGGCCAGTACCCTGGGGGGGAGACTATAAGATGGGTTTAAGAGGTAGGTGGTGACCAGGTTATTTGGGGTTTATAGACCATATAATAAAGATTTGATTTTAATTACAATTTGAAGCTAGTAAAGGGAGGCCACTATGGAGGGTGAGAAGATCCAATTTCTGCTCTAGTAGGATTCACTCTGACTTCTGTTTTGTGAATGCACTGAGAAGGAAGAGTGGAAGCAAGGAGACCAGTTGGGGGACTGTAGTGACAATCCAGTTGATAGATGAGGATGGAGAGGCAAGGTGATAGCAGTGGATTTGGTGAGAAGTGCTCAGATCCCAAGTATATATTGAAGGCAGAGTCTATGGGATTTCCTATTGGGTGAAATAAGTGACAGGCCAAGAAAGGGTATGTCTATTGGGTTTGAGTTTTGTGTGGATGATTTGAAGGGCGGGTGGATACAAAGAATCAGTGTAATTGAACATTTTTTTAGATAGACTTTATTTTTGGAGTAGTTTCATATTCACAGCAAAATTGAGTAGAAAACAGAGTTCCCATACACCCCCTCCTTCCCACAGCTGCCTCCACCACCAGCATTCTCAGCCACAGTGGCATGTTTGTTAAAATTGATAAATCTACAATGACAATCATTATCACTCAAAATCCACAATTTACATTAGGGCTAGCGCCTAGTGTTATATGTTCTATGGGGTTGAACAATTATATGATAACATATATCTACCATTACAGTATTATACAGAGTAGTTCCACTGCCCTAAGAATCCTCTGTCTCTACCTATTTATCCCTTCTTTCCTGTAACTCCTGGAAACCACTGAGGTTTCAAATACCTGCTTAGTCGTATCTATTCCAGAATGTCATGTGTTGGAATCATACAGCATGTAGGCTTCTCATATTGGCTTCTTTCACTTAGTAATATGCACTTAAGTTTCCTCCATGTCTTTTCATGGATTGATAGTGCATTCCGTTTTAGTGCTAAATAATATTCCATTGCATGGATGTGCCACAGTTAATTTATCCATTCACCTACTGACGGGCGTCTTGGTTGCTTCCAAATTTTGGCAATTATGAATAAAGCTGCTATAAACATTTGTGTGCAGGTTTTTGTGTGGACATCGATTTTTTTTTTTTCAGATCATTTAGACAAATACTAAGGAGCAAGATTGCTGGAATATATATGTGGTAAGAGTATATTTAGTTTTGTAAGACACGTAGACCATTTTTGATTGTATTAAATTCTATAGACAAGGCCTCAAAATCAACTCCTCTATTTCATATATACTACATCACAGCAGATAGGTTGTATGTTACTGTCATGTCTATATCAAGGTCTTCGTTTTGTTGCCTTAACACATTTTTTCACAAATTTTTTCTAAGATCAGTGTAGTGATATTAATGCCGTCTAGTGGAAGAAAATGTGTTCTTAAGAAACACCAGCAACAACAAAAAATAATTCATTAAAAAAAGTAAATAAATTTGAAACGTTATTCTGTGCTGAGGAAGAGGGATATTCTACTCTTTCTGCTCAATTTACATGCTACAGTGGAGGCCAAAACTTGGAGAAGAATGGTAGAAAAAAGTAATTAACAAAGACTAGGCTACAAGTGAATATCTTGAATCTGAATTTATTCACCAAAGCAATTTGGTATCCTCGTACAAATGCAGAGTTTTTCCAGGGGTGTGTGTATGTGTGTGTGTGTGTGTGCCCGTGCCCGCGTGTGTGTTGGGGAGGGGTTGTGTAGATGGAAGGGGAAGGGGAGAATTTAAAAGATAAACTTGGTCATTGTCTTTTGCTCTTCTAATCTAGTTGTGGGGCAAGACCAGCTGTGGCAATGTACACAATATGATTCAGTGTTAAACTGTAAATTGCAGACAGCAGGAGAGAAAGAACTCAGAAAGCAGAGTGCTCAGAGAAGGTATTACAAAAACTAAACTGGCGTTAGTCTTGAAACATAAGGATAGGGATAGGAAACAAGGGTATCATGAAAATAATAAATTCAGGACAATAAAAAAATGTCTGAATATAGAGTTCACCTATAATATCTATATTCTAATTCACTAGGACTTAAGAAGGTGGGGGTAAGTGAAAGTAGACTATGAACAGTAATTTTAAAAATATTAAAAGATAATATTAAAAACATTGATAACAGCTAATGATTACTGCTATGTTTGATGTGTAGTCACTATCCCAAGCACTTCTACATATCTCATTTAAACCCCATAATTATCCTATGAGGTAGATATTACAATTTTTCTAATTTTCTTTTGTTTTATTTATTTGTTTTTTTGAGACAGAGTCTCGCTCTGTCGCCCAGGCTGGAGTGCCTTGGAATGATCTCAGCTCACTGCAACTTCTGCCTCCAGGTTTGAGTGATTCTCCTGCCTCAGCCCCACTGAGTAGCTGGGATTACAGGCATGTACCACCACACCTGGCTAATTTTTGTATTTTTAGAAGAGGTGGGGTTTCACCATGTTGGCCAGGCTGGCCTCAAACTCCTGACCTCAAGTGATCCACCCATCTTGGCCTCCCTGAGTGCTGGGATTACAAGTGTGAGCTACCATGCCTGGCCCTAATTTTTTAAATTTTAATTTGAGGAAACTGAGTCGTCAAATATTTCAAAACTTTCATGAGATCACAAAGCTAGTAAATGGAGGAGTGTCGATTCACATCCAAAATTCAGATTTCAGAGTCTACTATGTCTTGAATTCTGCTAGATAGAGTAAAAGAATTGGGACGAACAGATTTAGGAACCTGAATTATGGACCTCATTTTGTTATTTACGTAACTTGGGAAAATCCCACCCTGTTTCTAGGCATCAGTGTCCTTGTGTACTCGGTGAGAATTTTAAACCACATCACCTCTCAGGTATCTCTTAGTTCCAAAATACATTGATTATATTTAACTAGGATTTGAAGTATTTTGTTCTGATAGTTGAATAACACTAAAATATCTGAAGGTATAGAATCCCATTACTTTAGAATTGATGTTAAACTATAGGAGTAATTTAATGCACTCCTGACAGATCACACCTCTTTCCTGATGTAAGTTTCCCAGCTTGTAAAGTAAGTGTTCAGATTGTCCTGTATGGACAACAGTAGTACCATATCAGGGTGCGGTGGTGAAAACCAGCTCTGGATTGAAATGCCACAGGAAAGTCAGCTCAGCAAACAGGCAGCCATGGGAATGCTTCATCCTTGGCTCACTCCCCTCTCACCTCTTGTATCAATCAAGTCCTATTGATATAATTCATAAAGTACTCTTGAATCCATCTGATGCTGTATTGATCGATACCCAGGTTCTCCTGAATCCATTCAGAGCGCTCATTCTCACCACCTTTATCCTAAGTCAGGACATCATCATTGTTCTTGAACTACTGCAATAGCTTTCTAACAGGTCTTCCTGCCTCAAATATGGCCTCCCTCCAACCATTTTTTTAAGCTGTGAGCTGACTAATCCTTCTCAATGGGAAGTCATAGCATAGAAATCTTCAGTAATACCCCTCCAGTGGCTTCTCAGTGCACTTGGGATGGGTTCCCAGAATTCTCTTGTCTTTAACATGCCTAAGCAGTATATCCCATTCAAGTCATGGCTCACCTTCCAGCCCCAGACTTTACCACTTCCTAAAGTGAATCTTACCTTTCAGCCATTTCATATCATATATTCTATCTATACAGGCTTCTGCAGAGTTTGCTCTGAAAGACAGCACTCCACAAACTCCCTACTTTAATCCCACCCCTACCCAGTCCATCTGGTGCTAGGTTTTAGTCTAGACGTCACTATCACTGAAAAGCATTGCTTACTTTACTCCTTGTGGTAATCAAGGTGGCCCTTCTGCCTCTCACCATGGCATTCTGTACTGCAGTAATCATAGCACCTGCCACACTGTGATGCAGTTACTTTTGTTGCCCACTGGGCCATAAGAACCATGATGGCAAAGATCGTGCCTGCATTGTTCTCACTTGGTTTCCCAGTTCCAGTACAGTGCTTGTTACTAAACAAATGCTTAATGGATGTGTGAACAAACACGTGAATGAACCAATCAATTGACTGAAAAAAAATACTTAAATATCTAGAAGATTTATAGAAGAGTTTAAAAGGGCCTAGAGATCACATAGCCTAACTCCCATTTAGAACATGGCTGCTTCCGTACCAGACCTCTGCTAGCCATAGATAAGATAAACCTCAGAGCTATAAGAGACCCCAAGCCTAAGCCTCTGCTGCTCTTGGTGCTCTCTGACCTCCTTGTGATGCTGCTGAATAACGTCACCTAGATCCTGATCTCTCTTCTGATCACCCTTGCCCTGGGAGTTTCCTTGCCCTCTTCTTCTGGACTGAGTGGGGGTAGCCTCTGGAAGGTCTCAGACTGTGAAGAAGTATCACCCAGCCCAAAGAAACCTGTCAGACCTCATTGTGTCCTACTGCTACCTCACGGTCATCTTTTCCCTTGATAAACTACACAATCTTTTGAACTCACCACGGCAAGGTTAGGCTTTATCTTAAGAGTAAATGGGAAGTTATTGAAGAGTTGTTATCCGAGGAGTGACATTGATCTTATATACATCCAAAAAAAATTTCCCCGGTTGGAGAGGAGCAGGAGGGAGAACCAGGAGACCAGTTAATAACCTGGGTAAGAAGAGATGGGGCTAGGAATAGAGAAGCAGGCAGATACTGGAGATGGAGAGAAAGAGATGAAGGTAAGAATTTAAAGGTTGAGTCAATAGGACTTCCTGAGAAGTAGAATGTAAAAGTGAGGGATCAAGGATCAGTGTCTGAACAACTATATGGATGATAGGGCCATTTACAAAGATATGCAAGATGGAAAGAAACTGATTTGTGGATTGAAGGGGGAGTGAATAAAAAAACTCAGTTTTGATATATTATGCTTAAAAACCTAACAGTGATTTCCACAACCCCATCTCTGAAACCTTGTAGACTCTACTAGTTTCTGTCAGCAGTGTCCTAAAATGTCATCATATGTGGGTGTCTTGGAATGTGTCTGATTCATCTACTGTTCCGGGAATTTTGTGGGCCCTTTGATGGGTAACTACATGCCCTTTCAGTCTAGGACATGTAAAAAAATAATTTTACTGGTTTACTTTTTCCTAAATTTATTTAGTTCTGGAATTTCTATTTGGATGTTGGTATACTTGAACTGATTTTGGGCACTTTTTGTTTTGTTTTGTTTCACTCTGTCCCCTAGGTTTCACTCTGTCCCCTAGGCTGGAGTGCAGTGGTGTGATCTCAGTCACTGCAACCTCTGCCTCCCAGGTTCAAGCAATTCTCCCACCTCAGCTTCCCGAGTAGCTGGGATTACAGCTGCATGCCACCATGCCCAGCTCATTTTTGTATTTTTTGGTTTCACCATGTTAGCCAGGCTGGTCTCGAATTCCTGATCTCAAGTGATCCACCCACCTCAGCTTCCCAGTGTGCTTGGATTACAGATCACCATGCCTGGCCTGTTATTTTTTAAACCTATCTTTTCTATTTCTGTATTTTTGTTCTACTTTCTAGTTTTTCTAAACTTTGTTTTCTAGCCCTTTTGTGACTTAAATTTCTGCTGCTATTTCTAATATGCAAGAGCTCTGTTTGGCTTTCAGCAACTTAACCCTTTTTTATATTCTCCACTTGATTTATGGATGAAAAATCTGTTTTTGTTCTGAATATATTTGAGATTATCAGTGAGATTTTGTTTAAGCTTCATCACAGTGCATAGTTTTGGCTTTCTTCTGTCAGTTGCATTTTATATTTGGGGTTTGGATCTTTGTAAGAGGATTTTCTCAAATGTTTTAGGATCATTGGTGGTTTTTTTCTTATTAAAGACAGGCCTGTGAGATCGGGCAGAAGTGGTGAGCCTCAGGTTGGAGCTAGTCAACAACGGACTTTACTGAGGTTGATCTGGAAGGACTGTGTTCTTGGGGGATCCCCCAAATGTCAGTGCTTTTAGGTCTTTCCTTGCACACCTATCAGGTTCCCCAAAGAAGATTTTTTCAGTTTGAGAACCAAGAAGGAACAGAGGTCACTAGGACCCAATATTCAACAGTCACCATTGACAACCTGGAAGAAAAAACACCAGTAATGTGTTTCTCTTTCAGAAAATGAACCTGTTACTGTCATTCACAGCCAAAAGGCAATGTATCTACAAGTGGATCTTATTTGGATGAAAAGAAAGAAAACTCGCTTTGCAATAAAGATGAATGTTTTATAAATGCACTGGATTAGAAACTGCTTTTTACAGGTTTGAGACTGAGTTTTGTGTCTTAAAAAGTGTGTGACTCCTGATTATCTAAAAGTGGTAAGAAAAGTCTCAGACTACAAGAATTTTCATTCAGGGATAGAAAAAGAACAACATACATTGAGTAGGAAATTGCTGATAGAAGAAATTGGAGACAGAAGTAAAGTAACTTATATGATGACTACCTAGTTTCTACTTCATTGTAGAAGTTAAACATTATTAAAAATTACAGTTAATCAACATATTAACCTTCTCTACTAAAATCACAGGGAACTGAGAATGTGTTCTCTCTGATGACTCTACTTTTAATTTACATGTAATTTTTACATAGCATTTATATGTTTTTGGAGCCCACAAACTGACATTATTATTTTATACAAGGTTCATACCTATTTTCACATTTACCAATTTGTTTGTTCCCTTGTTAAAATTTCAGAACTACTTTCTAGGTCATTGTTCAAGTTTTTATAATCATGAAATATATCCTTTGAAAATTTCTTTATTAAGGTTCTACAGTTGGCAAGCTCTTAAGAATTATTTTTCCGAAAATATTTAACTGGTTTTATTGGATGCATATTTCTAGATTGACATTTATTCTCTGTCTTTCATTTTTGCTATTGAGAAGCTTATTGCGAGTATAATTGTTGCTCTTTGCCAGAAACTGATCTCTTCCCTCTGGTAGATTTTAAGTCCTCTTCTTTGATTTTAATGTTTTGCAGTAATACTACAATGTGCCTTGGTGTGCCTTTTTTTGGTGACTTATCCTACCTGATGCACATGGTGTTTAATCTTTGTTTGCATTGTAGTACTGCTGCTTTTAGCTGCGACTGCTTTCTAGGGAACTTCTGTCTAATCCTCTGCCATCATGAAAGGAAGCAATGAACACTTGCTAGAATTTATGGGATAATAAAAGAGATATAACTATTGGAGGAAATGTGCATTGGGTCCTGAGTCATACCTGAGAAAGGGAAAGTGGTCCAGGACATAACTGAAGTCCTCTCTGATGATGAGTCAAAAGGGGTGCTGTTCAGAGGACAGCCTGGCAGGAAAAAGGAAGCCTTACATTAAGAGGCTGTGGAGTGCTGTGGAGTATACTTTGGGGAGCAGCCAGCTGGAGGAGAAGTACCCCTACATCAGGGAGCTGCAATTGGAGAGACCCAACAGTGAGGACAAGATGCTGGAGAACTCCTGGAAGCATCCTCCCCACATCCTCAGCTATGTGTCTCTTGTCACCTCAACTGTTTATCTCTTTGTCCTTCTGGGTTGATTAAAAATACCTTTAAATAACTCTAAAAATATCTTAAGTATCATTTTGGTGAGGCTTTAGGAGAAAACAAGAATAAACATGTACACAAAGATTCTTAAATGTTTTTTAACACTTAAGTTATATTTCATGTAGTATTTGGGAGAATTGTTATTTGTAATATTGAATGTGTGTTATGGCACAGAATAACCACACACTTGCAATCCTATCCCCCAACCTAAGACACACAACAATACCATTGTGGCAAGATGCCTGAGCACATTCCCCTTGGCATCCCCTTTTCAAGCTACTCAGAGAATCCCCTCCTAAATGTGTTTTCTTGCTTTTTTTGTTTAATTTCTTGGTTTTGAAATATTATTATATCTTTACTCTCTATTTGATAATTTCAAGATTTGAAGTCCTCTGGAGTCTAAATTTGCTTAATCTCATTTATGGTTTCTTGCTTCCTCATGTATTTATTTCTGTTATTGTTTTACCTTTCATGAAGTCATTTAAAGCTGAACTTATTGAAGAACACTAAACGACCAAAATTTGGGATGCATTGTTCTGTGGTGTACTTGTGTTTGCTTCTGCTGGACCTCAGGAGATGCTACCACATAGGGGCTACTTTATTTCCTTGGCTTGGGATTTCTTTCTGACCAGAAAGATGGTATTCATTCTAACTCCAGACCCAGGTGAGAGCAGGCCAAGAGCTACAGTTCTCAAGGGAAACTGCATATGGAAACAATTGCAGCCAGAATTCCCAGTGGCCTCCCTTTGCTGGTAAGCAGACTCTTGCAGGGTATAGTCCCCCTGTGAACCCCTGGCTTAATGTAGGAGTCTAAGTTCAGCTCCAGTACTTCTCAAAGGCCTGGAGTTGCTCATTTCCGATTTCCCTTCCTGTTTCAGCATTGCCTTGAAAGCAGTCCTGATTTATACATTTGATTGATGCTGTGGTGTTAGTGCTTTGCTTGTTCTCACTGGGTTGCTTTCACTGTTACTGTTTATATGGCCTTATTTTCTTGAGTGCTTAGCAATGAACTAAAAAAAATAACACATTTGTCATAACTTATCTAGGTCTCATTAAGGAATCTAGTTCACTATATTGCTAGAAGCAAAGTCTATACTTGAAATTTTGCTATCCTTTGTAATATAAGAGCTATTATGAGAGAGGTTTGCATCTCTCTGTTTTGTTCAGTTACATTTCAGGAGTTGCTAGTATTGCTGATCCCATATTTCCTGTTTCACTTTTGCTTTTTATTCGAGTTTCATTATGACTAAAAAATAAAGTCAGTTTCTTCCTTTATAATTTTGTTTAAAAATTTTTCTTAGTGCTATATTAGGCGGCTTAAAAAAGTACTTGAAAAGTTTATATTATCTCTTTACAATATATTTACTATATTTTTGAAGTCTCCTTAATAATTTTTTACTCACCTGAAAGGTCAAGTTTTATAAGAGATGAACAGTTTCCTACTTTTTTTTTTTTGTAGATTTTACCTCCACTGTCTGTAGATGGTACTTTATAGATATCAATATTATATCTTTCAGTACTAAAAGATTGAATGATAACCGTGTCTTTATAGATTATAACCTTAAACATTATAAGGAGATTTTCTTTAATCAACACTTTTATGATATAAATAACATATGGAAATGGAAGAAGTTCCCTTATCCCTCTCGCAGGGCATGTGACAGGGGTGTGGCTTGCTTCTTCAGTTCCCCGCTGCTCAAACCCCTGTGGGGAACATACAGGCAGGTCGTGGGGAGAATTTTTGGGCTCCGACCCCATGGCAGCATCTAAGGTTGAGTGTTTACAGCTCCTGAAGCCCCAGTGGGCCTGTGTTACAGTGTGCTCTTTCAGCTTTGCTGTCTGCAGGCGGCTTGTGTTAATCAGCTCAATTAGACCCTCTGCCTTATCACAAGGACAGAGGGCTTTCTGTGTCCTGGGTTCCTGCCCTGGTGTACCGAAACAATGGGATCACATGTGAGCTTGGAGGATGGGTGCAAAGTTTTATTGAGTGATGGAGGTAGCTCTCAGATTGGTGGATAAGGAGCCAGAAGGGGGATGGAGTGGGAAGGTGGTCTTTCCCTGGAGTCGGGTCACCCAGCTGCGGGACTCTCTTCCAACTGCCTCAGATCGAATTCCATGTTGTCCCGCCGTCAATGGACTGCCGGTATCTACTGGTGTCTGTCAGTGTGCTCTTCTGCTCCTCCTGACGTCCAGCAGCTTGTGTCTGTGCTGGCTATGGTCTGGGAGTTTTTATGGGCACAAAATGGGGGCCAAGGCAGGCCAGAGTGGTCTTGGAAAATACATCATTTGAGTGTGAAAACAGGAGTGCCTGTTCTCACTTAGGTCTGTGGGCACAGGACTGAGGGTGGAGCCCTTACCAGGGACACTGCCCTTCTCTGTCGAGCACTTCTCTGCCCCCCTCCCATATCAATACCAACTTTGGATCAGACAAAGCCAAATAAATACCCCTAACTGATCACATAGGATGCCCCACATTTAGTAAATGACCTACAGCCTCCCCAGACCACTAGCTTACAGTCAGGGCACACCTGAAGTGTTCCAGTGTATCCACTCTAAAGCTTCTCCACTGCCCTGCCTGCCTTTGAGTCTCTGTTAAAACACTAGGGGTGGTGGCTGGCTCCCTTACTACAGCAAGCTCTGAACAAATAGGACTTGCTTGTTGTCATTGGGTTGGTCTTCATTTATTTCCATTTACTGTTGTATCATAAGGACTAGGTCAGAGAAAAGAAGCAGGAAAAAAATGTGCCTTCGTGGAACTCACATTCAAGTGGGGCAGTGATGAGAGGAGACAAACAGCAAAATGTAATAAGTAAGCAATATAGAAGTATGGGCAAGTTATAAGTGCTATAAATAAAAGACATGGGAGCTGGGGGAGGAGATTGCAATTTTAAACAGGGTTGTCAGGGAAGACTTGCTAATGAGGTGACATTTGAGCAAAGCCTGCTAGGAATGAAAGAGTAAGTCACACAGAGGCAATGGGGGAGGGGAAAGCATTTCCAGGAGGAGCCTCAAGGCAAAGGCTTGGAGGCAGGAGGTGCCTGGCAGTTTTCAGAAAAAGTAGGACTTGTGGCTGGAGTAAAGGGAGAGGGGAAAGAGAGAGGTGTGGTCAGAGATGTCAGGCAGCCAGAACATGGAGAACTTTGTAGGTCATTGGAAGGACATTGGCTTTTAAGCCAAGGAGATGAGAAGCCTTTGAGCAGGAGTGGCAGGACTCTTGTTTTAAAAAGATCTCCTGGCTGAATGGGCACTGTGGCTCATGCCTGTAATCCCAGCACTTTGAGATGTGAGGGGGGAGGATCACTTGAGGTAAGGAGTTTGAGACCACCCTGGCCAACATGGTGAAACCCATTATCTATTAAAAATACAAAAATCAGCCAGATGTGATGGTGCATGCCTGTAATCTCAGCTACTGAGGAGGCTGAGGCAGGAGAATCACTTGAACTCGGGAGGTGGAGGCTGCAGTGAGCCAAGATTACACCACTGCACTACAGCCTGGATGACAGAGTGAGACTCCATTTCAAAAACAAAACAGAAAACAAAACACTCCTGGCTTCTGTATTAAGATTAAGTAGAAGGATCATACGCCCTGCCTTGTGCAGGACGATCCTAGTTTATGCCTATTGTCCTAGCCCCTTTCACTTTCAAAAATGTCCCAAGTTAGAGGATGAAACACAGGATCTCCCTAAGAATAAACAACTAGGGGTAAGGATGAAAGCAGACACAACTAGGAAGCTGGTTTAATAATCCTGGTTACAAATAGTAGTGATGTGGAAAAGGGTGATGGCAGGGGAGGTGGTAAGAAATGTTCAAATTAGGCTTTATTTTCAAAGTGGAGCCAATGGGATTTCTACATAGTTCAGATGTGCGGAGTGGTAGAACGAAATGTTAAAAATGACTCTGCTGGGTTTTTTTGTTTGAGTGAAGAGAAAATGCATTTTTGTTAACTTAAATGTGGAGAAACTGGGACCTAATTGTCAGGGGAAGACTGGGAGTTTGGTTTTGGAAATTTTGTTTTTGGGTTGTCTATTAGATAATTGGGTGATAAAGAGTAGCCTCTGGAATGAATTTGGAGTTTAGGGGAGAAGTGCAGGGTAAATGTGTTTTCTCCATTTATTGAGTGCAATGTTTTACAAATATGCAGTTCCCTGTTAAAACTAAGTAGGCATAACTCAGCTATTTGCATCTAAACTGTCCCAGAAGTCAGGGCCTGATATCTCTTTTCTTCCTGTTTCAGTAACCACTTCTGTACCTTATGCTTTTAAGATACTTTTTTTTCTCTTTCTTTTCTTTTCTTTCTTTCTTTCTTCTTCTTCTTTTTTTTTTTTTTTTTTTTTTTTGCAATTCTAGTGGGACTCAAATGTAACACACTTTTATTGTTAAAGTCTAACAACTTAAGCAGAATTGTGATTTCAGACATTCTTAAATTTCCCTGGAAAATGAGAAACCTGTTGGACCTTCAGATAAACTCTTGCCTTCACTTCTAAATTATTTTCTTCCAATACCTATTTGAATATTTTTTTCTATTGCAATTAGTTTTTCTTCTTTTTCAGGGGAAGCAATTGTTCCTGTAATGGTCCTCTAGTATCTGCTCCCGTCTACATAGTTATATTTTTCACTAATCATTTTTATTTTGGTCTTTTTTGACTTCAACATTATATGTGATTTTTTCAAGCCTGCCTGCAACATCACTGACTTACTATTTTTCATAAATGCCATTTCTGCTTTAACTCCTCATCCTTTTAGACAGTATATGCAATACCAGTATTCCTGTACTGTTACTTTTCTTTTTATTGTGTGTTGTGGATTTATTTCATGTTTTAGAGCATTCATATTTCCTTAACAGGGAAAAGCAGTTGGAATGTATTATTTTCTTTGCTATCTCTCGTATTCCATATCTCTTTCATTCTTTCAGAGGTTCTGTATTAGGTTATTTCTTCTGCTTACCCGTCATTCAAAATGGGCAATTCTATTCAGTCCATAATAGTAAATATGGTTATTGAATGAGGCAGATTAAGTAAACCTCCAACAGAAAGCAACTTTATTCTTTTACTATTGCTGTTACTCTGTACTGTGTCAAACCGCCTTTCTATAGCCCTGACAGTACCTTGAGTATATTCCATAGCTTCTGATGTCACTTGTAGTAGTAATAAACTTCTCCAGGCATCCAGGCATCCTTTTCCAGGCATCCAGTCTAATATCAGCTTCAAGAGTTCTTCCAGTTTTTGCCTTTACCCCTTTTCTGTTGAGCCTAATCCAGGCTTGGTTACCAATGGAGAAGGCGAGGGATGGTTGGACAGCTTGGACATTTGCTCACTTGTGCTTAACAGGACTGCTCTGCCTCCTGTATGACTACAGGTAGGGCTGTGAGATAAGAGAAGAGGCATTAAAGTCTTATAGGACAGACGGGGTTGTAATCCCATGTTGATGCTCTCCAGCTATGAAGGCCGGCCCTATGAGGCTTTTGTGTAGACCCAACCTCTTCCGCAGAGGCATCCTGAGTCATAAGATGCCATCTGGGACTGTCTGCTGCTTAAGGCTCCTCAGTTGTGTCTAACAGTATGAGGTTATACATACAAGAATACATATTACATAGCATTGTTAGCGGTTATTATTACTCTTGTGAATGGTACTATTGTTACTACTGGTATGAGAGAGATTTTAGCCTCTTAATTTTGGCTAATTCTATGATGTACTTGTATAAGACAGGTGATGTTTAAATGAGAAATCATAACTAACTTTACTTGGCACTAGATATTTGAGAGAAATTGTATGTATTTATTTGTAGATTATATTCTGTTTTATTAGGGAGGAAAGAACTTAGAGGCTGAGTTTATTTCCATCATTAAAACAAAATAGATAACCAAGGCCCAGAGAGAAACAGAGGCCTGTCTACTCTCCAGGCACTAACAGTCAGGACTGGAACACAGAACTTCAACTTCTGTGTAGTTGTCCTCAGTTTCTGTGCTTTCTCCTTCTGAGGGGAGGTGCTCCGTACTTCAGGACTGAGTGTAGATCTCACCAGATTCTTCCTGCCCTCTTGGTGGGTAGCTCAGTTCTGACACATGCTTTGATAGATAATGCAACTTTTCCTTAAGGAACAAACCTTACCCTTTTAGTGAATGTTTGTAAACCTTTTAAGAATATAGCCACCAGATGTCACTGTAGGCTAGCTTATGCCAAATAAGACTATTGTATCTGTTGTCAGATTTGCTTTGAGGAGAAAATGGGATCGAATAAATGCTATACATCCTAATGTTTTAGCTTATAAGGGAATTTCTAGGGCTGTTTTGAGACAGACCACCAACCATGAGAACAAAATGCGAAAGAATCCTACAGACCCTGGTCTCTTGGTAATTACAGTTTAGTGGGATGTGCAGGAGGAGTCATGTGCAAAAAATTACATGTTACCCATCCCTTTTGCTTGCAAGTGAAATAGACCAAGACAGAAGACATCAGAGTGAGCGGAAGAAACAGCTGACAACATCGAAAGGGAGAAAATTGCAAGAAGTCTTGATGGATGTCTTAGATTTGGGTCTGTAGAGCGTTGAACCTGGAAGACGCCACTTGATGGTTAGAAAGGGGTGGGAAGGAAGGCAGAGTTAAATGTACAGCAACGTAAATGAGTGAAATGCCTGGACTTTTCAGAAGAATGGGAAGAGACTAGTTAACCATTCAAGATGGGATAAGTCCAAGAATGGTAGCGTGTAAGGCTGGCAGTGTGGCCTGGTGGGACAAACACAGTTTTTACAGACAGGCCACCTGAGTCCAAATCCCAGCTGTGGCACATACTAGTTGTTGGAACATACTCTGGGGCATGTTACCAACTCAAATTCCTCATAGAGAAAGTGAGATGATAATATATTCAACTCATAGGATTATGGAAAGATTGAGTTTATATTTTTACAGTGTTTAGAAAAGTGTCTAGCACTTAAGTACTACATTAAGTCTTTGAATAAATAAGTTTCTGTATAGCACTAGGCATAAGAAGTCAAAATAAGGTTAATGATTAAAAGGCAATAGTTTTGTATTATTTAAGGAATATTTATCTGGAAGTGAAGTGAACATAGGCCTGAGATATACCCAGATCAGCACCTGTTCACTGAACACTATGCCAGACATTTAATGGGTGTGGAATAAATTTTAAAAAACCTATAATGGTGTTGATAATAATTTCTATGTACTGAGCTGTAACTAGGGTCTAGGAACTAAGTTTGAAGTACTTTAAATGCATTACTTTAATCTCCAAAATTTGTAGGGTAGGTTATTATTATTTCAGTTTCATAGATTAGGGAAGTGAGACCCAGAGAGAATAATTAATTTGTTCAAGGTCATACAAGCAGTAAATAGCAAAGCTGAGATTCAAACCCAGAACCTGATCATTTAACCACTGCTCGAAGTACCTAAAAGACCTTGAGGCATACTATAAAATCACATTACTTTAGAGCCAAGAGGGACTTCAGTTTGACTGACTCGTTTTATGGATGAAGAAACTGAGAATTATAAATTTTAAGGGATGTATTCAATGTCATTTGGTTGAGGGATGGATGATATAAGAACTTAAATTTTCTGTTCCCAGTCCAGTTCTGAATATAAGGGGTTTTAAAAGTAAACAGGAAGTATCAATCCAGCGTATTATTATTCAAAGAGACTGTGCTAGATCTTTTATTTGTCTTTTGCTGACATTTTTTTTGTCTTGCTTCTGGTATAGTGTGAACTCTAGTGTGTTATAGTGGTCCTTGTTGTTTAAGATCTTTTTTCAAGATATAGAGTGGAGTGGAAACCCGCCTGGAGAGTATATAGTATTTAGTTCAAAATGTGAGTTACGTAGTGGACCTCAGACAGTAAAATCAGCTTCCTTGTCATCAGAGAATTCCAGGCAGGATAAGTTATCAACCTAGAATAATTCATGGAAGTTCATGTCCTCTACCAGGTCACAGTAATTGAAGTTTAATAGATTGCAGGCAGTGGAGGCAGAAAGGTGTAAACACTAATACATGACTAATTGTTTATTCCAACATATACAATAGACTGAAAATGAGTGTGAATTATAAATATGAAAGAGAGAGTAGATTAAGCCTTTGCATGATTAATGAGAAGTATATGTTGGAGAAAACAATTGTTAGTGTATGAGTGTTCACAGCTTTTCTTCCTTTACTGCCTGCCAAGTGGAATTCTGCCTGCCACGCTGTTTCTGGGATTCATTGTAAAAGCAGGATTGTGGGTAAGAGAGCTAATGGAAGTGAGCACAGATAGGCTGGATGGATTTAGTTTGGAATGAGCAAAGATGTCTCTTAGAAGAGGGGAAAAAACCAAGGTGGGTGGGATAAGAAAGATAAGAGTCAGCTTGGGGTGGGTTGAAGAGAGTTTTGCAGTTTTGAATTACAGTCAGTTGCTTTACTATGATAAATGAGGTTTAGATGCAATAGATGGATACAGAGAAAATCTTAAATTGGTAGGAGTTCTGAAATATACCTGCTATGGTTTGGATGTCCCCTCCAAAAGTTATGTTGAAACTTAATCCTCAATGCGGCAATATTGAGAGGTGGGGCCTTTCAGGATGATTGAACCATGAGGGTTTTGCCCTCAGGAATGGATTACTTTGTCCATAGACTAATGGATGATCATGGGAGGGGAACTGGCGCTTTATAAGAGGAGGAAGAGAGGCTTGAGCTAGTACGTTAGCACACTTGACCCCCTCGCCATGTAATGTCCTGTACCACCTCGGAACTCCACAGAGAGCCCCCACCAGCAAGAAGACCTTCATCAGATGTGGCCTCTCAACCTAGACTTCTCAGCCTCCTAACTCTAAGAAATAAATTTATTTTCCTTATCAAATCACCCATTTTTAGGAATTGCATTTTAAGCAATAGAAAATAGACGAATATAGTATTTCCTGGGATTTTACTACAAGGAAGCCTGATACAGACTCAAAGGACTCCTTAATTAAAATTTGAACATTAAAATAGTGGTTTTTCTAAATGTGACACCAAGCCATGTACTAAGTCAGAGGCTATCAGATTGATCTGGTCTAAATGTGAGGGGGAAATACATTTGTGTTGTACCTTAAACTCCTAGTAAGATCTTCACTTGTGTAACATCCTACTATACAGGACACAGTTTCCCAAACTGTATTCCTTGAGTCACTTGGATTAATTTTGTTAATAAGTGTTTGTACAATAAAGTTTTAAAACTAATACACGGTCTCTTCCATTCTGAGTGTCATGGAGCACATTAACATAGTAAAACCACCCAGAAATTCAGTATAACAAGGAAAAAATTTACATTTGACCACTGTTTTTCAGACTTAAGAAAATGTAGAACACCTATTACTTAACATCTTATGGGAATATTGTTTCATGGAATATTGTAGGAAATGCTAGTTCAGTTGAAAAAGTGTAGGTTTGGATAGCTGGAAACTAATTCCCAATTCTGGCCTTGTAAACTACTTAGCTGCAGTCAGTGCTACTCAAAATATGACCAAGGACTGCCAGTTTGCATACTACCTGCTATTAGACTGCACTACATAAGAAACTAGAATGTAATGAAATGTATAAAATAAGCATACAATTTAGTTGAGCTGGGGTTATTTGTAGCCAGACTTCGATGAAGGAAGTCATAAATGCTGATTTATATTCCATTACAAGTCTGACACTCTGAGTAGTATTAGCTGCAGTGATTGTAGTAAGTGACTTGATCTTTCTTTCCTTTTTTTTTTTTTTTTTTGAGATGGAGTCTTGCTCTGTCACCCAGGCTGGAGTGCAGTAGTGTGACCTCAGCTCACTGCAACCTCCACCTCCTGGGTTCAAGCGATTCTCCTGTCTCAGCCTCCTGAGTAGCTGATATTACAGGCACGTGCCACCATACCCAGCTAATTTTCGTATTTTTAGTAGAGACGGGGTTTCACTCTGTTGGCTAGGCTGGTCTCGAACTCCTGACCTCAGGTGATCTGCCCGCCTCAGCCATTTGTCCATAGATTAATGGTGGGATTACAGGAGTGAGCTACCATGCCTGGCCTCACTTGACCTTTCTGATTTAAATTTCACTTTCTCTCAAATGATTAGGTAGGAAAATAAACATGAAGATTCAACCTATTCTGAGTTCTATAACTCTAAACCTGGTAATCTTCTGGGAGCCTAGGGTCTTGGGAAAAAACTGAATATCTCTGTTGTAAACCTCTGGCATAATCCATGAGAATGATAAGGTTTCGACCTGCATCTTCACTTCTAAACTAGGAAAATGGAGACATTTAATATTCTCTAATTCTTGTCCTAATGAATGAACAGTAATGCTGATCTATATTTTATTGTTTTATTGTTGCTGTTTAAAGTCTATAGATATTATAGATAAAGACACAAGCTGATCATCAACTTCAGCAATGTTGGCTAGTACTTAAATTGTGCTTGCAACAATGGTATATCTGTTTCTCAGACAAACACATTTTGTTACAGGCCATTCTGGCACATTCTTGATCAGAGGTAAAGATAACAAAGATAATTCCAATATGGATGAGGATTTAAAAGCAGCAGGATACTCTGGAAGGGTTGCAGGCTTTTGCATCATGTAGACCTGGATTTATATTTCATCTCCATTATGTACTACCTCTATGACCTTGGGAAGTTCTATTAACTTTCATGGGTATTCATGTTCCCATCTATAAACCTGATAAGTGTGTTATGATGATTACATGAGATAATACTTCTAAAGTTTTTATTATTTTTGTAGATTTTTAAAAATAAGAAAAATATATGAGTTACAGAAAGGAGAATTACAAAATTAGAACAGAAGTGTTTAGGGAAAACAATGTGCAGGTCATAAAATGATGGCCACCAAAATACTGATTTAGACACAAGAATAGAGTCCACTAAAATCACTTGAATAGTAAAAAGTGAGCATAACTAGAGGTTTCACAAGTTCAGAACCTGTGTTCATAGGTCAAAGATAGAGTCAACAGGGGAAGCCTAGGCTGGAGTAAAGAAAATATCAGCCTTATGAGTTAAAAAATGGCTACATTAACACTCTCTATTCTATTCTGTCTAGACTAATAGCATTCTTCAAGTGGGAGAGAGCTAATAAAGATAGCTGTAACCGACCTGTATGGTGACTGGAATAATATTCAACAGGGTAACCAGCCTGAAGGTATCAGGTGAGTCAATCAATATATAAAACTTAACTGAGTTGTTGTCACCCTGAATAGTAGAATTGAGTTCATGTAATCCTAAGTAAAATGGTTAAACCCATTGGGACTTATAATTGCAAAAGATCTCTCAATTTTAAATAGGAAGGCTGCAGATTTTTTTTTTTGCCTCGTAATAACTCATATTTTTATAGTACTTCTCAATTTCCAAAGCACGTTTGTGTGCATTGTTTCAATGGAGCATTATGACAGCTAATAAGTCTCTGTGTGGTATAGCTAAGGACCCCAAAGCCCAGAAAGGTCAAATGATTAGCATAAGGATGCACAGCCAATACTTGGAAGAAGCAAGATTGCTATTAGAGATCTTAAGTCAACATAACTTAGCTTTTCCCAGAATGAAACAGTGTCTCTCCCTGAGAGTGAAAGTTATCAGTTACCATCCAGCCCGTTCACTTGTATTAGATGGAGACAAAGTCTCCCTGAAAGGATCAGTAGAAGTATAGTTGTTGACAGACACAGGATTCACAGCTTAAAGTTTCTCTTTCCAAATAAGCCACTTAATTGTTCTTTATTCTAAAATAATGGCCAAATGTGAATATTATTATTTCAGAATACTTAGAAGAGGTCACATGAGTTGAAAGATAAAACTGCAGGCCTTTATTAGTCATGGGTTGTTTAAGTCAGAGAAGATATGTACAGTATATTCAAGGTACTATTTTCCATTCCCATGACCATGACAGTCATAGATAGTCAATTGTGATATTCTTTCCCATTGGATCCAGATGAGCTTCATAGTTCTTTTCAATTTGGTGTTCTAGTCAGGCACTGCTAAGTGCTCAGAACTAGTCTATTTTCCATGTTGCTGTAGGCACAGACATGCTTAGAGGTTTGCCTGAGCCTTTTGATCTAAAACCATCCTTGAAACCCCATTTTCTTTTCTAGGTGATATTCAAAACAATTTTATTCTCTTTATTATGCCTGACACTTATTAACAAAATAGCCTGTGTTATTAAAATTCATGCAAAATTATGTAAACATTCCAAAGAACATGACATTTGCACAGAAGCTGACAGACTCGGTACTTTGTTTTTTCTACATCTTTGAGGATATTGTCGTTTCTGTTTGTAAGAAGACACAGTAGCCCTCCAGTAGTCATTCGTGAATTTCCCTCTTCAAAAGCATAATTGCTATGCACTTACTTCCTGTACTTCTAAGAATTAATTTTATTCTAGGGACCCAGTGAAGTCAATCATTTACTTTAGAGAAGAAAATTTTTCTACTTTATTGTTCATTGTTACTAGCTCAGAAACCAGTTATTTGTTTCATAAAGTGTAAGGCACTGCTTTAAATTGGAATCTCACTTCTACACCATAATTGAGTTCTTGGCACTCAATGTAACAAAGCAGTATAAGACTGTAAAGTTGTTTTAGAGCTAGGAATGAATCAATCACTCAAGGAAACTTTCTTGAAATAAATTTGCTTATATTCTCAACTTTATTTCCCTTTTACTGTCAACCCTCAGCCTCTCTTCATTCTGGTTTCCCTAGGGGGCAGGGGACTATAGAGGGCAAATGTATATGTTGGAAATGTTATTCTAAGTTATTCCATTACCTAAGTCTCATTCTTCCCTGCAAATGAGACCACTGATGTGATGGAAAAGATAATTAAATTTTAAGTTAGAAGACATTGTTGTATTTGAATCTTGGCCTGCCACTTTTTTCCTAGGTAAATTTAGTTATTACTCAAGACTTACTGGTTTTCAAGTAACAGAAACCCAAATCACACTGGCTTTAGCAAAAAGAGGGGGTTTAGTTCATATATCTAAGACTGATTCTGGCTGGCTCCAGGTATAGCTGGATCAGCATCCCAAGAACTATTACAAGAAACTTATTTCACCATCTCTTTAGCTCTTCTTTCCTCTCCTTTGGTGTTAATCTCAGATCCTACATGGGAGCACCCAATGAATTTAGGATTTCTCTCTCTGTCTCTTTATAGTTCAACAAGCCTCCAAGGAAGGAGACATTTCCTTTCTTTAATAAGACCTCCAAAGACCTTAGTACTGCACGTTGGCTTGACTTGTCTCCTGTGACCATTCCCAAACCAATCACTACAGCCACTGAGGATGAAATAGCCGAGTTTTCTTGCTTCTTGTCAGGAAAGAGATCACTCAGTAATCACCTCTATAGTTATTATGGCTGTTTGTGGCTGATGTATTATATGCTGTTCCAGGGCTATATGCTGTGTATTTCTGTTCCTTGGCTACCTGCTTATCCTTAGAGTTAAGAATGGGGGTGATCTCTCCTGAACATAATGATTTAGAATTGGGTTGATTCTCCATAGGAAAATTACACTAGGAGAAAATAGAATGAATATCTTTTTTTTTTTTTTTTCCAAGGAAATGATATCACCACTTTGGGTCGTGTTTTTTCATATGTAAAACAGAAAATATGAATCAGTTGTTCTTATGAGTTGCTAATACATTCTAATTTTCTGTGAAAAGAAATAGTGCTCTGTAGGCTTTTCATTACGTATGTTAAATTTGCATAAGTAGATGTATATAAGCACATGTATGTACATACATGTGTCTGTGTGTGATTGTGTATACATTGCTATGTTTGCACATAATCAAACAGACACACAGAACTTACTAGAGGCCCACTGACAAATAGTATTGGGGTCAGTTCTAAATTTCCTAGGCGAGAGCTTTTTAAATATATATATATATATGATTATACTCATATATTCATGCGTTACCCTTGGAATGTTAACACTTTAAGAGGATTTTAAAATTTATGTCAGTCTCCTTAGAAATGAAAAGCTTTAACTCAAAGACATGTGTGTCAAATGCTGGAATTTGGAGTACCATTACCAGAAATGTGCAGGTGGGTCATAACCTTGAGGAGAAGGGACATCAGAGAAAACACAGGGTCTACACCATTATTTGGTAAGACAGTATTTACTTTATAAAGCATCTGCCATTGATGGCTTTTCTACCTTTCTCATCATGGTCTTACATTTATGGGTATCATGCTAATAGCCTATTAATCACATTATTAATATTTTTATTCTCACCTGTTATCTAATCAAACGATAAAAAATACATCAGTTTTCCAGAAAGTGGCCTTTCCTACCTCCCTAGCTACTGCCTTAGCATGATGTGTCAATAGGGGTAAAAATTTAGGGCAGCTTTTGATATTTTGTAGATCATGTTATATTAAATCCCTATGTATTCATATATGGTTTGTTATTTTCCCTTCATAGGTCCTAGGGCCCAGAAATTCTTTCTCCTCTCCATTTCTGACAAAGGCTTCATGCAGAAATTATTAGGCAAATATGTAAAATCCAAACCCTGGGCCAAACACGAGTCTCTCTATCTCACTTAGTTGAAAATCATTTATTGAATACCTATTCTGTGTAAGTCTGGATATATAAAGATGATTTGCTCTCTTATGGAGATAAGGCCTGGATATAAATCAGTACAATACAAGATAGACAGTAATGTGTGTCACAGGAGAGGAATAGATAAATTGCTATGGGAGGTGAGAGGATAAAGAAGTCACTTTGTTGTAGAGGGGCTGAGGAGTGCTGTATGTTGGCATCATTTGATGCAAGTAAATGACTGACTTCAAATGTGTGTAGGCTAAAGTCAAAAGTATGTTTGCATTTACTTCTGGGGGTAAGGGAGGGTTTTATGAAGGAGAAGGGGTTTAAGCTGAGCCTTGAGATGAGTAAGATTCAGTGTTAAGACAACTCCAAGAAATTCTGTAAGGATCCAAATTACCTTGGCAGAGGAATCACTTTAACCCATTTGTGGCTATTAGATGCTTAGCTTAGGAGTGGCAGTATTTGTCAGAATTGAGAGTAGGTACCCACAAATTGATGGGAGTAGAAAGAGGAGAGGCTGAGCACAGGCCGTGCCCCGAAGAGGCAGCTGATTCTGGGGAGTGGGGAAATGACCTTGAAAGTGGGAGAATTCCCTTGTCTGCTTTCAAGTAGGTGTCAGGTAGTTTACACAAGACCATTGAGAGATTTATACATTTTAAAAAGTGAGAATTGACAAATAAGATTTGGAAGAAGCAATATGAAGGACAATGATATGGATGAAATATTTGAAAAATGGATGCAACCTTCTTTAGAAATAAAGTTGTCATTTCATTTTTATATGTGAAAGTAATTATATGAAAAGGGACAAGATGGTTTGTATCTCCTTACCATAGATAGGCTTTGTTCTCAGTGTTGGAAATACAACAGTGAGCAAGCAAAAGTCCCTGCTCCCAGGGAGCTTATAGTCTAATGTGGGGAGAGAATCAGTCAACAACCAAGAGTCACATTTGTAATGTCTGTGACAACCCTGCCTCAGTCCTGGGGCTTGAATCCTCCCAAATGACCTACCCCAACCATTCATTTTAATTATTGGTCTTAATCATTTCCCCCACTAGTAGTCATTCAGTTTTTCTTTTATTATTTTTTATTCACTCATTGATACATTTATTTAACAAACATTTGAGCACGTAATATATTCCAGGCTTTATCACCTGTGCTGGAGGAACTTATATTCTAGATCAGCATTATCCAATAGAACTTTTTACAATGATGAAAATGTGCCGTATCTGTTTTGTTAAATATGTACCTGCATGCGACTTGTGGCTATTGAGCACTTGAAGTGTGGCTGGTGTGACTGAGGAACTGAAAATTTAATTTTGTGTAATTTTAATTAATTAAAATGTAAATAGACACATGTAGCTAGTGGCTACTGAATTGCATAGCATAGATTTAGAAGGAGTGGTAGACAATTAATTAGTGTCCTTTTAAAGAAATAGGGATTGTCTTAGGTGCTGTGAAATAAATGAGGTCCTTAGAGGAAAATGGGAAAGGGTGTACTTTATGGGGTGTTCAGGTACAACCTGTCACCCCATTTGAGATCTGAGAGGTGAGAAAAAAACAGCAATAGAAAGAATATTGGGGAACAAAAGGAAGAAGTCCCCAATAAAGGAACTGGGTTGGTATGCTTGAAGAACTGACAGAAAGTGGAGCTTGCTAAGTGAATTGTATTGTGTAGGAAAGAAAGTTGAAGGAGCAGCAATAGCCACATCATGCAAAACTCAGGCTGTGTGTGGGCCAGTACCATGGAGAGCACCATGTTATCTCCCGAGGCATGCACCAATCCCTGTTTTGCATTACAGGAGTCACTTCCTAATGAATCTTTCTTCGTAGAGCCTAAGTGCTGGAGCACCTCACAGCATCTATCATCACGTTTGATCATTTGTCAACTGTATTATGTAATTTGATTTGAAAATATCAGTGCCTACCATGGAACAAAAAGTTAAGTTAGGCAAGGTTCTTGCTTATAAGCAGTTTAATAAACTTAATATAAATTAAATATTGGCCAGAGCAAATAGGCAAGAGAAAGAAAGGGCATTCAAATTGGAAAAGAATTTGTCAAATTAGGCTTGTTTGCAGAGGACATGATCTCATACCTAGAACAATCTAAGGACTCTACAAAAGAACTCTTAGAACTGACAAACAAATTCAGTACAGTTTAGGACACAAAATCCACATTTAGACGTCTATAGCATTTATTTATACCAACACAGTCTGAAGAAGATATCAAGAAAAAAATTCCAGTTACAATAGCTATAAAACCCAGAAAATACTGGGTGTCAATCTAATCAAAGAAGTGAAAGATCTACACGTGGACAACTATAGAGCTCTGATGAAAGAAATTGAAGAAGACACAAATAAGCTATTCCATGCTCACAGATTAGAAGAATTAATATTGTTAAAATGACAACACTACCCAAAGCAATGTACAGATTCAATGCAATCGCTATCAAAATACCAATAACATTCTTCAAAGAAATAGAAAAAAAACCTATAATTTATATCGAACCACAAAAGATTCCTAATAGGTAAAACAATCATGAGCAAAAAGAACAAAGCTGGAGGAATCACTCTACCTGATTTCAAATTTTTCTACAAAGCTATAGTAACCAAAACAGCATGGTACTGGCATAAAAACAGATACATGGACAATAGAATAGAATAAAGAGCCCAGATATAAATCCATGCATTTACAGCCAACTCATCTTTGAAGGCACCAAGAGCATAGCACAGGGAAAGGATGGTTTGAAATAAATGGTGCTGGGAAAACTGAATAACTATTTGCAGAAGAATGAAACTAGACCCCTATTTCTCACCACACACAAAAATCAAAATGAATTAAAGACTTAAGTCTAAGACCTGAAGCTACTAGAAGAAAACATTCAGGAAATGGTCCAGGACATTGGTGTAGGCAAAGACTTTTTTTTGTGCAAGACATCAAAAGCACAGGCAACCGAAACAAAAATAGGCAAATGGGATTACATCAAGCTACAAAGCTTCTGATCAGCAAAGAAAACAATAAACAAAGTGAAGAAACAACCCGCAGAATGAGAGAAAATATTTGCAAAGTATGCATCTGACAAGGGATTAATAACCAGAATATATACGGAGCTCAAATAACTCAATAGCAAAAACAAAACAAAACAAAACAAAAAAACCAAGAAAACCAATTAAAATGTACAAAATGTCTGAATAGACAATTCTCAAAAGACAAATGGCCAATAGGTATACAAAAAAATGCTCAACATCACTAATCATCAGAGAAATAAAAAAAAGCACAATGAGATATCATCTTACCCAAGTTAAAATAGCTTGTATATAAAAAATAGCAATAGCAGATGCTATCAAGGATGTGGAGATGGGGAAACCTGTACAGTGTTAGTGGGAATGTGAGTTAGTACAGCCACTATGGAGGGTCCTCAAAAAACTAAAAATAGACCTACCATACGATCCAGTACTTCCACTACTAGGTATATAACTAAAATAAAGGAAATCAACACATTGAAGAGATATCTACACTCTCATGTTTATTGTAGTTTTATTCACAATAACCAAGAAATGGAACCAACCTAAATGTTGAATCAGTGGATGAATGTATAAAGAAAATGTGTAATGTGTAGACAATGGAATATTGTCATAAAAAGAACTAAATCCTGCCATGTGCAGCAACATAGATAGAACTGGAGGTTATCACGTTAAGTGAAATAAGCCAAGCACAGAAAGACACATTGTACATGTTCTCACTCATATGTAGGAGTTTAAAAAGTGGACCTCATGAAGATAGAGAGTAGATTGGTGGTTCCCAGAGGCCAGGAAGGGTTGAGAAGAAGGGATATGAAGGGGAAAAGAATATAAATATAATTATTATCACCTAACTGTACACTTACAAATGGTAATGGGCTGAGCATGGTGGCTCACGCCTGTAATCTTAGTACCTTGAAAGGCCAAGGCGGGCAGATCACTTGAGGTCAGAAGTTCAAGATCAGCCTCACCAACAGAGCAAAGCCCTTTCTCTACTAAAAATACAAAACAATTAGCCGGGCATGGTGGCATGAGCCTGTAGTCCCAGCTACTTGGGAGGCTGAGGCAGAAGGATCACTTGAGGCAGAGGTTGCAGTGAGCCAAGATTCCACCACTGTACTCCAGCCTGGGTGACAGAGTGAGTCTTCCGTCTCAAAAAAAAAAAAAAAAAAAAGGTAATGATGGCAAGTATATATATATATATATATAAATGTTATATCCATAATCAATCGAAAATGATTAAAAGTAGGATTAAAAACTTTTTTTAAATTTCTTTTATGATATTGCTGGAAGGAAGCTAACTTATGAGGTCTGGAGACATTTACTTTTTGAAAGCTTTTGAAAGAAAATATGGGAAAGTAAAGAACTGAATAGGAAATGGACCTAAAATAACTTGACTATTTTTAAAGCTGTCAATCCTTGATTTGGAGTTTCTTCTCTAAATGTATAGACATTCAGACTCCACAGATTAGTGATATATGGTGTGAGATACAAGTGATTACGCAGATGAAATGCCCCTGGTTGGGGTGCTGGCAAATTGCTGTGTTTTTCAGCAGTAATTTTTGTCAGCTTCATTGATTTTAAAAATTGTCAAGAACTTGAATTTATAATACAGGTTTCTGTTTATATACTTTTTTGTTTTTTTGTCTATAGAGTCATGGTACATTAGTTTGGGTTCTAGAGCCAAGAGAATTACTTTTAAATGATTTTTTAAAAATGCAAAATGTCATGTGCTTTGTTCTACAGAAATGCAACTTTTCAGTTAACTAGCAATATGTATTACAGATATACTAATTAGTGATCTCTAATGACTAACACTGACTTGAATGACTGCTTAACCTTTTCATCTTGCCTAGTCCAGCACTAACTATGTATATTTACTCTCTTGGCAGGTTGTTTTCATAACTCTATGTGATATTAAATTGCTATCACCAGAGCATATATTTTGAACTAATCATAATACGATATAGTTCTACTAGACTTTAGACTTGACAAAATTCATTCATAAGCATGTTGTCATTTCATACTTATAACAGCCACATGAGAAAGTACGACATGTGGGACATTATCTGCCTCTTACTTACAGAGACCCTGGGACCACCTCTGTTTTGCCATCAGTTATTGGATAATGTGTGGATAGAACTTGAAGTCAGGGGATAGGCAATTCATTTTGATAGAATAAAGAGGGAGTACTTCCTCCTCTCCTCCTTCTTTACTACTCAATGTAATGTGATTATAAAACCAGAAACTAGGTTTAAGAGAATCTTTTGAATTCAGAGAGAAAAAAGTCTGTGTATCAATTAAGAATCTTTGTTTCACAAGTAACCAAAACTTAACTCATGGTGATCTAAAAATCAAAGGAATATATTGGCTTCTATAACTAAAAAGCCCAAAGACAGCACTGGATTCAAGGTTCAAATGATGAAATAATGAATCATCACTCATTTCCTCTGTCTTTGGATTGGTTCCGTTATCAAAAAAGACATCTCCTCTTTTAGTGACTCAACTCATACTTTTAAAAGAGCATTCTATATCTTAAAGAGTAAGTACTCTTTCCACACAGTGGAAAGAGTACAAGTGGAAAGAGTACAAGACTGGCAGTAAGGAAACCTGGTCTCTATTCTCAAGTCATCACTGGCTTTGTGAGTTCCCTCTGTCAGAGCGGTCAGAGAAGTGAGTTAGCTAGAATTACATCATTCCATATTGAAATCTAAAATGTGTGTGTGTGTGTGTGGCAGAGGGTGCACCTTGGTCCTCACAACTCCAGAAAAGGAGTTTTCTCCGTTTGGGATCACACATTTCACAGGGTCACCCAAGAAGCAACGTGGAGGCTTGAGCAATGGAGTGCCACCTGTGAGTCTACACCACCTGAACTATGGAATGAATGACAGGACAACTTGAAATAGGGGGCTATTCTTAGAAGTAGAGTAAATGAATTCTAGATGGTCCTGTATCCAAGAAGTAGTCAGTATGCAACATTACATTCACTGATCCTCTAAAAATCAAACCTCTAATCTCAATCTTTTTAGTGCCATGAGCTAATCGCCTTGGCTGACTGTTCACAGAACCAGAATTCATCTTTCTGCTTTTCTCTCATAAGGACTCCCCAGTCACAAGATGCCCAAAGGGGAACTGGGCTACTCCAGATGGCTTTGATCCATGCCAGTACTCTTCATTATGTAAACTTTCCTTCTGACAGCTCACGCGGAACATGTCACATCTTGAAAGAGGAGTTTTCATTAACTACTTTGCTTCTGCCAAATGGAATCAGTGCATTATGTGGCCCCCTGCCAGACGTCAGAGAGGGATGTTCCTTCTGTCTGCAGCACCCGCCTGGCTCCCACATTCAAGCTGGAGTCTCCTGTTTTTCCAAGATCAATACATGTTGCACCTTACATGGAGGAAGGTCTCTTGACCACTGGAACAGAGGAAGTTTCCATAGCCTCAGTAGAATAGAATCTAGGTTTTCTGACAAGAAGTGTTGTGCTCTTTCCACTGTGTAGTGCTTAATCTTTAAAACCCCAAATTTGCTCCACACACACACACACACACACACACACACACACTTACTTAGCCACCATCTCTGCTTCCCTCCCTTACCTCACTGACATATGTGGTCAGTCAGGATGTTCTATCTACTTTAACTCTTAAGTACTTCTAAATATCTTTACTTGAAAAAAAGTCTTCACTATCTAGGCCACCATCATTATTCTCCTGGCTATTATAAAGTACCTTAAGTGGATTCTCTGCTCACAGAAGACATAGAAAGTTGTCTAATGTAAAAATTGATCAGTTCCTTTCTTAAAACTTTTTGATGGCTCTTAAGACTTTTGTCTCAATGCTCAATCTAGTATAAAGTTTCCTCCACTGCTTTCTGGCCCACACCCTGGGCCCATTCTCCAATACAGCGAGCCACTTTCTGATTTCTTTGAAAGAGCCTGTTCTCCTTTTTTTCACCTGAAGATCTTTGCACATGACACTGCCCTTATTTGGAATGTTACACACCCTCCCATCATCACTACCTTCAATTTAATAATGTCTACTCATTCTTTTGCTCTCAGCTTAGAGGTCTCTCATTCTGTTAAATGTTCCCTCATTTCTCAATCTGGTTTCGGTGCCTCTGCTATTTGCCTCCATAGCCTCTTATACTGTTTTATCCCTGCTCACCGTGCTGTCTGTTTTATCAGCCTCTTTGTGTTCACACAACACACACACACACACACACACACACACACACACACACACACACACACCCCTCACTGTAAGGATTTCCTGAGTTTACTGCAGACCTGGAAGTTGTAGAGAAGGAATATGTGGCACAACAGGAAGCTTTTCCTCTCACAGATCCTGCTTCTTATCTCCCCTTCATGGCACTTTGGACCAAAATGAAGAGCCTTCTTCACAAAAACCCTAGCCTCCATCAAAGGCTATTGTATTTATCAATTGCCTGTTTTTTTTTTTCTTTGATAATCAGTTTTCCTTTAGTTTCCACATAAAGCATTTCTTCTGGTGAATGTGTAGCGCAAGTCTAATCCTCTTTTACCTAAAACCATTCTTTTTCTCCTCAATTTCTTCATTCAAACAGATGTATGATAATTATTCATAGAGTTCAAGTCCCAGGGGTAGTTCATGTTTAAATAGAAATGGACTCCTTAAAAAAAGATACTGAAGGCCGGGCGCGGTGGCTTACACCTGTAATCCCAGCACTTTGGGAGGCCAAGGCAGGCAGATCACGAGGTCAGGAGCCATCCTGGCTAACACAGCGAAACCCCGTCTCTACTAAAAATACAAAAAATTACCTGGGCGTGGTGGCGGGCACCTGTAGTCCCAGCTACTCGGGAGGCTGAGGCAGGAGAATGGCGTGAACCCAGGAGGCGAAGCTTGCAGTGAGCTGAGATCGCGCCACTGCACTCCAGCCTGGGCGACAGAGCGAGACTCCGTCTCAGAAAAAAAAACAAAAAAAACCTGAAATGGCCAGTCGCGGTGGCTCACTCTCACCTATAATCCTGGCACTTTGGGAGGTCGAGGCAGGCAGATAACGAGGTCAGGAAATCGAGATCATCCTGGCTAACACGGTGAAACCCTGTCTCTACTAAAAATACAAAAAATTAGCCGGGCGTGGTGGCGGGCGCCTGTAGTTTCAGCTACTCGGGAGGCTGAGGCAGGAGAATGGCGTGAACCCGGGAGGCAGAGCTTGCAGTGAGCCGAGATCACGCCACTGCACTCCAGACTGGCGAGAGAGCGAGACTGTCTCAAAAAAAAAAAAAAAAAAAAAGATACTAAAATTCTGGTGATAAAATTTCAGGAGACATCCTAAGAATGGCTAGGATGTTGTGGTGAACATCCTAGCCATTCTTAGAAAGTCTCTGGAAATTTTATTAAATCCCCTAGAATCTTGCCTTGTTAGCACCTAGTCAGGGTCCAAAAGCCTCAGGGTTAGAAAGAAATTTCAATGCCATATTTGTGATTCTGTGACTCATTCTTCTCCAAAGTTCTTTATAGATCTAAATATTTGTGTGTGTGTGTGTGTGTGTGTGCATGTTTGGTGCATGTTTGCGTGTGTACCACCCTGATTTAAGTCACTATTAGTTCTCCACTAGATCAAGTAAATAACCTGTTCCTTTTTCTTCTCTATTTGATTCTCAACATGTCATAGCTGGAATGATATATTTACAAAACTGGTCATTATGAGTGAAAGCCAAAGTGCTTTGGATGGCCCTGAGGGACTTTCCTCTATCACTATGCTGATCTCTCCTCTTATTCTTGCCCTCTCACCCATTTTACTCCAGCCACACTGTCCCCCTTGTGCCTCACACATGCGAGGCTTTCTCCCTCTTCATAACCTTCTCAGTGGCTATCCTTGGCCATGCATGCTCCACTCCCCCACCTCTTTTCCCATGATTGGTTCATTCCTTCTTCAAGTTTTTGCTTCAGTGCCACTTTCTACATGAGATCTTCCTTGACCACCCTACTTAAAATCACAACTTTCTCACAGCATTTCTGATTACCTATCTCTGGGCTGTTTTTTTTCCCCCATAGTTCTTGTCTAATCTACAATGAATTATCTGCTTATTCGGTTTATTATCTACCTCCTTTAGAAAGGGTGAAGTCTTGATGAAGGCGTGGTTGTCTGGCTGTGTCCTCACTGACATGTGTCTGTCAGCTAGAACAAGCGCTCAACAAATACTGGTTGAATAAATGATTATGCCTACTTTATACCTCTACTAATTTATTAGCTTTTTGAGAGTTTATAAAATTCTAGGCCAAACTGTAAACTTCCAGTTGGTTCTAGCCAAAGATAACAACTATTCTTATATTATCCAATTTATGTTTAAAATTGACATTCTGTTTCAAAAGCACATCTCACAAAGTTCTTAAGCTCATTTGTTATTTGCCACCTGCCACCCACCACCCATTCTCCCTACCTCATGGTATTCCTGGTTTCTAACATGACCTTCATTGGTTTCAATCAGTCTCATCTTCCCATCTTGCATCATAGCATGTTCAGGTCTGACTTTACATCTTTTCCTTAGATACGTTTTGAAAACGGACTCTCTCTCCCCTTTCCAACAGTTCCCCATTTATCTAGCAATACCAACTTTATAGAATACAGCCATAATTAGAAGGGTAAAAAAATTAGTTTTTTGACCATTATGAATAGATGCCAGAGTTTATTATTAAATCTGATGTATTTAGTTCATAGAAGTGACGAGTCACTATATACACAAACTTGCATGTTTAGAGCTCCTTTATTCTCATTATATGTGATTCCAAAATATTTCATACCAACCAAAAATCTAGTGGCTAAAATCAACAACAGCTAGTTATTTTCAATGAATCTGTGGGTTTACTGGACTCAGCTGGTTGGTTCTGCCTTACATGGTATAGGCTAAGGTCACTCAAGTGGCTGCATTTAACAGGGGGATCAGGGATGGGGCTGCAGTGTCCAAGACAGCCTTTCATCTTCTGAGGCCTGCCTCTTGTCCTGGGCCTCTCATTATTTAGTAGTTTGTTCTGAGGTGCTTTACAGCATGGAGGTTGGGTTTTTAGAGTGGAAGTGAAACTGTCAGACCTATTAAGGGCTAGGCCCAGAACCAGCATAGCATCACCTCTGAAGCATTCTTTTGGTCAAAGAAAGTCATAAGGCTGATCCAGATTCAAGTAGATCCACTTATTAATGGGAGGAATTGTTGGCAATTATATTTGCAGATGAACTACCATGACTTTTTCTTAGAACTTAGAAGATAAGGAGCAGCAATTCAGAATGTGGGGCTGAAGGCAGGGACACAAACATTCACAGAGACTTTGGCTAATCAAATAGTGTGTATCTGAATGAGTGTATATGTGCGTGGGTGACTGGTGGTCTTTAAACAAAATACATATAGATGTATAAAAGACTCAACATTTCCAGCAGTATTCATATCTTGTGGGATATATAACATGAAGGCAAAAAGCATGATGATCCCCAAGAGAATTAATGTATCATAGCCTATCATGTAATTGATATGCATATTAAAAAGGAGGTTTATCTAATTGCATGTATACCCAATTTAAATAGCTGAGAAAATGTTTTTTGTAGAAATTTTGCAGAACAAAAGGCTGCATTATTTTCTGAAGTTTTGGGATCCAAAGGATAAATTTTAATTATTTAAAAATAACTTATGGACAATGATCTATTTCCCATCCATATCAGAAAAGAGTCTTCCTTATAATTTCTTCAAAGTTGATTCTTTTTATGCATAAGTCTGCATACACAATAGGTGTTTGGTAAATGCTTGCTGATTAAAATCAGGCCATAGATGAAAACTAGAGAAATGTGATGTTATCTTTGTATCCAAAGGCAGATTTTCTTTCCCATAAAGGTTAATTTTAAAGCTTCTAAAAATATGAACAATAGACTTTTTTCTTTTCATAGCAGCGATAATGGTACCTGAGTGAATTAATTACCTTTTTGTTCCCATTAGCTAGTGGCAAGTACGCAGGGCCAACAGCACAGAGCAAAGGAAGTTATATTAGTCATGGTTTTCTTGCAGATCATGAAAAAGAAAATTGGGTTAATGAGAGGGCATGGGGATTGAATACCAGAGCCCATGGTGGAGTGCACTGAAGATAGAGGCTTAGACAATGAGTAATTGGATGGGGAGGAAAATGCATATTCTGAGAAATCAAGGGGTAATTGAGCAAATTTCAAAGAAATAGAGGTAAAACTAAAAAGGTTCTGCAGAAGGAAATGACCAAATTAAAAGGCCATCTATGGAATGCGAGAAAATACATACAAACATATCTGATAAAGGGTAAATATTCATTGAAAACATATAAGGAATATCTACTTAATATCCAAAAATCAAATAACCCATTTTAAAAATGGGCTAAAGAACTAAACAGACATTTCTCCAAAGAAATATACAAATGGACAACAGGCACTTGAAAATGTGCTCAATATCACTAATCATCAGGGAAATGCAAATCAAAACCACAGTGAGGTATCATCTCATACCTGTTGGGATGGCTGTTATATTAAAAAAAAGTGCAGGTGAGGATGTGTAGAAAAAGAACCCTGTACATTGTTGGTGGGAATGCAAATTGGTGCAGCCACTATGAAAAATAGTGTGGAGGTAAAAAATTAAAAGTAGAACCAACAATTATATGATCTAGCAATCCTTTGGGTATATATTCAAAGAAATTGAAATCAGAATCTTGAAGTGAGATCTGCACTCACGTGTTCATAGCAGCATTATTCAAATTAACCAAGACCACGAAGTAACCTAAATGGCCAGAGGCAGATGAATAAAGAAAATCTGGTATATACATACAGTGGAATATTATTCAGTCTTAAAGGAAAAGATCTTGCCATTTATGGCAGCATGAATGGACCTGGAGTACATAATGCTAAAGTGAAATAAGCCAGACACAGGGAAAATACTGCACAATATCATTTATGTGAAGAATCTAAAATAGCCAAACTCATAGAAGCAGAGAGTAGAATGGTGGTTGCTAAGGGCTGAAAGTATGAGTAAAATCAGGAGATATTAGTCAAAGGGCATAAAATTTGTTATGCAAAATTAATAAGCCCTTGAGATCTATATAGTGTGGTGCCTATAGTTGACAATATTGTATAACTTAAAAATCTGAGAGGTAGGCCGGGCGCGGTGGCTCACGCCTGTAATCCCAGCACTTTGGGAGGCCGAGGCGGGTGGATCATGAGGTCAGGAGATCGAGACCATCCTGGCTAACAAGGTGAAACCCCGTCTCTACTAAAAATACAAAAAAAAATTAGCCGGGCGCGGTAGCGGGCGCCTGTAGTCCCAGCTACTCGGGAGGCTGAGGCAGGAGAATGGCGTGAACCCGGGAAGCGGAGCTTGCAGTGAGCCGAGATTGCGCCACTGCAGTCCGCAGTCCCGCCTGGGCGACAGAGCGAGACTCCGTCTCAAAAAAAAAAAAAAAAAAAAAAAAAAATCTGAGAGGTAGATCTTATGTTAAGTGTTCTTGTCACTCACAAAAATAGGATAGAAGGAAGCTCTTGGAGGTAATGGATAAGTGTATGGCATAGATTGTAGGGATGGTTTCACAGGTGTATACTTATCCCTAAACTCATCAAGTTGTTAACATTAAATATATACAGCTTTTTTATGTCAATTATACTTCAATAAAGTGGTTTAAAATAAAAGAAGGTAACTTCTCCCAAGAAGGTAGTCTTTACTTTAGAGAATGTGACTTAGCCCTTGATGGTTGCCCTCTTCAACCATTAAGGAATGCCAAGTATTTAAACTAATACCTATGTCTATAGAATATGCATTCTTTCAGAATGAGCTTAAGAGTCTCTAACTCCCACCTCATTCAATGTTCATGATACTTGGATCTCCAGCTTCTGTGTGGACACGTCTGATGATAGGGAGCTCACTTGCATTACTGGGTTTTGGTTCATTAAGAATACGGTTTCTGGCTGGGCGCGGTGTCTCATGCCTGTAATCCCAGCACTTTGGGAGGCTGAGGCAGGATGACCACCTCTGGTCAGGAGTTCTAAACCACCCTGGCCAACATGGTGAAATCCTATCTCTACTAAAGATACAAAAATTAGCTGGGCGTGGTGGCAAGCGCCTGTACTCCCAGCTACTTGGGAGGCTGAGGCATGAGAATAGCTTGAACCTAGCAGGCGGAGGTTGCAGTGAGCCAAGATCGTGCCATTGCACTCCAGCCTGGGCCACAGAGCAAGACTCTGTCTCAAAAAAAAAAAAATAGTTTCTGATCCCTGTCTACAAAAAAATTGAAAAATTATGGATGCTGGTGAGGCTGTGGAGAAAAGGGACTGCTTATGCACTGTTGGTGAGAATACAAATTAGCTACTATGTAAAGCAGTTGTGAGATTTCTCAAAGAACTTAGAACTACCAGCCTAGTGCAGTGCCTCATGCCTGTAATCCCAGTACTTTGGGAGGCGCAGGTGGGTGGATCACTTGAGGTCAGGAGTTCAAGACCAGCCAGGCTGTGGTGAAACCCCATCTCTACTCAAAATACAAAAATTATCTGGGCATGGTGGCACGTGCCTGTAATCCCAGCTATTTGAGAGGCTGAGGCAGGAGAATTGCTTGAACCTGGGAGGTGGAGGTTGCAGAGAGCCGAGATCATGCCATTGCACTCCAGCCTAGGTGACAGAATGAGACTCCGTCTCAAAAAAAAAAAAAAAAAAATACCACCAACAAAAAAAACAGAACTACCATTCAACTCAGCAATTCCATTACTGAGCATATACCCAAAGAAAAATAAATCATTCTACCAAAATGACACGTGCAGTTGTATGTTCATCGTAGTGCTATTCACAATGACAAATACATGGAATCAACCTAGATGTCTGTCAACGGTAGACTGGATAAAATGTGGTACATATACACCATGGAATACTACAAACCCATGAAAAATGAAATTATGTCCTTTGCAGCAGCATGGAAGTAGCTGAAAGTTATTATCCTAAGTGAGTTAACAGAGGAACAGAAAACCAGATAACTGCATATTCTCTGTAGTTTAAGTGGGAGCTAAACAACAGGTATTCATGGACATAAAGATGGAGACAGTAGATACCAAGGACTACTAGAGAGGGGAGGGGCAGAAGGGGCCATGGGTTGGAAAAACTACCTATTGAATACTATGCTCACTACCTAGGAGATGGGATCCATATCCCTAACCTCAGCATTCACAATATACTCATGTAACAAACCGGCGTATGTACACCCTGAATCTAAAACGTTGAAATTGTTTAAAAAGCCAGGCATGGTGGCATGCACCTGTAATCTCAGCTACTCAGGAGGCTGTGGTGGGAGGATCACTTGAACCGGGTGTTGGAGTCTGCAGTGAGTTATGATCGTGCTGCTGCACTCCAGCCTGGGTGACAGAGTGAGATCCTGTATCTAAAACAAAAAAGAATACAGCTTCTGAAACCAGAAAGATTTACCTAAATCCTGGATTCATAATTGGCCAAGTGCTTTCCCTTGAGTCCATGACATCCTCTCTAAACCTCGGGCTTCACAGTAGTGAGTTGCGGGATAGGGAGGAAGGATAGGTAGTATTTATATCATAAGGGGATTAAATAAAGTAGTGCAAGTAAAGTACTTAGAGTATCTGGCCCATATTTGTTCCTCTGTAAAAGTTATTTTTCATTTCTGTTCCACAAATATTCAACACTATCGTTCCAATGAAATAGCATACTCAAAAGTATTTTGCATCCTTTCTTAGATGCTTGCAATAATAGTTCTCTGTAGGAATTACCATTGTTTTTAGTTTTCTGATAAGATGACGAAGACTCAAGCTCTGTGTTTCTTCTCTTGCTGTTTCTTTTTCAGGAAAAAAACATGAAATTTTCTGTTGGCAACAAGTCTTGCTAGTCAGAGCTGGCCTGGGACAAGATAGTGCATGAATCACCCTTTGTTTTTGTCCTCTTACCCCTATTCATGGCACCTCCACTCCTAGATGTCAAGGAATTGCATGCTATTTCCAGAATCTTCACTTGCTGAAGGGAAGACTCTGACAGCAGTCATCTGTACCTTGGGAAGATGGCCTTTGAGTTCTCTCAAGGGTTTTAAACTTAGACTCTGAGGGCATTAGGACTTTTCCCACCAAAATGAATTCCTGGCATCAGGGAGCCAGGTACAAGGGGAGTCTAGAATCATTAAAGTTCATGATGTGTTGACAAGCTATTATTTCCTACCTACACAGGTAGGCATCCCTTTTTCTAAGTATCTCAAGGCCAGGGGAAAATTCAGATCATTCCGTAGCTACAATTTTATTAGGGAAAGAGCCTGAAATACTTAGACATGAATAGATTTTCATGGAATGTGGGAAGGTCATAGAATCGAGGACTGGAAAAGGATTACTGTAGTCTAATCTTAGGACAGAAATTTATTCTGAGGTCCAGAGGCAAAATACACTGTGCTTAAAGTCAGACAGAGTCAATGTCAATCTGTGTTAGAGTCCAGAACCCCCTAGCCCAGGAGCTGGGGATTCCACATCTGCAATTTAACATCATTGATTACAAAACCCTAACTTCCCTTTGGAATGGTTTAAAATTACTGGGACTGAGAATAATATGCTTGTCTCTTCTTTTAAAAAAGACTTCCTAAAGCTTTAGTCTCATTCCCTCCATAGGTGACCCTGCATGAATACAAAAGTCTAGTGTTTTTGTTTTATAAAGAACACTGAAAGTTAGGGAGCCCCTAGCCCTGCTCGGCTCCAAATAGCTGCTTGGAGCTGGATACTGGCCAAGGACCTGTCACTCTCTGTTTGCATGCTGTTCGGGCCATCCTGCTTTCAGCACAAAAGCAAAAGGCCGTGGAAATGTGGATGCATTTGGAGATTCATTTCACATTATTGAAGCAAGGCTGGAGTCAACAACCTGAATTTAATTACTGTTCTGACAGCTGGGAGACAATTAATCCTTCTCTCACTCCTCCTCCTTCTGCCCCAGCGTCAAAGTGTCATTTCTTTTTTTCCCTCCCTCTCATACTAATTAGAAACATGCTGTAGAGTGAAAGGTGACTAGTGTGAAGCTAAAACAGTGTCACCAAAGCCCCTTTCATAGAAAAGAGAGCTCACGGTTGGAAGAAGTTGGTCCCCAACACAGGAGCATCTGCTTCTAAGTCAGGGAAGAAGAACGGGGTGTGGAGCTGGCCCTGAGGCCTGACTGCATCTCTGCTACTCACCGGCTCCATAACTTGGGCAAGCCACATCATCTCTCCATTCATATTTCTACTTCTGGGAGTCAAGGGCTCCCAACTTTTCTACTGCTCAGTTGTATAAGGGGAAGCAATAAAAGTGACTGTCATTAGAATAGTAAAAGCATCATTCTAGTATAGGACATAGAGATATGAAAAATGGCTCCCTTCAGATACAGCCATGAACTGGACCTGGAGAGCAAGGATCCTGAAATTCACAGGATGCAAACTTCTTAATGTATTTAAAGGTGGGGGTAAGTTTTTATACACTGTTCTTACTTGGCAAGCTGTCCCCTTCTCTTCACAACACCTCCTTAGCTGCAGTGCCAGGCTCTGCCTCAGCACCAGGGCCTGCTTCATGACAGTGAAGAGAGAGAGATTCCAACACCCAAGATCAAGGGTAAGAGGTCCCATGTTGCTTGCTTCGTGGATCCCTCCAATGCAGCATTGAGCTTTCTGTTGTTTGTCCTAGGTGTCAGATTTGCTAGATATTTACGTTAATACGTAGAAAAAGTTTAATCATTTTGATGTTCAGGGTAGGGGAGATTAATCATCCCAGGAGAGCTGCAGAGCCAAAGTGACTTTTCCAAGTCACTGGCTAGTTAGTTCTCAAAATGGGGCTGTAATGCAAACTTTCCAAATCCCAGTAGGAATCTTAAGTTGGTAATTAAGCTCCTCCATCCTTCCTTTTTCCTATTTAAAGATGATTATGGCCCCAAGTCTCATTACATTGACTGAATAGCTCTTTCCATATGTAAGCTACTTGTAGACACACAAATAATAATTCAGCTTATAATGCAACCTTCTTTTCTCTAAGCGCTTTTGATCCATCTGGGCTGCATTTCTTACCCAAATCAGCATGGATTTTTTTTTCCCTGAAATTGGCACTTTCTGGAAAACAGAGGCCAACTGTAGATGAAATGTCCCTACTTGGGTCATTGTGGTTGAGTCTTTTCATAAATGGCAGATGTAACAAGATGTGTGAGAGGGAAAAGATAATATCTGAGAAATATATTAGCTCCCTATTAAAATGAGGGGCAGATTATTCTCTTGTCTTCTTCTGTCTTTACTGTTGACTAACCATGTGACGACAGCCCTTTCCCCTCTCTAAACTTCAGGTTTCATTCTTTAAAATATGGGGAACTAAATAGGTCAGAATGGCAAATAAAATTTCTGCAGGCTGAATTTTGGTCTCTGACCTGCTTTGTTTGGCCTGCATAGAAACAAAGTATGCTTTGAAAAACCAGGAAACATATAAATTCCAGAGTTTTGACTTCTTTTAGTATATTTGCAGAGCTGGCAAAGGCATGTGCTCATTCCCACCTAAAAACAATGATCCAGTTCTGAGTTGTGGCTACTCTCACAAGATAGGGCATTACTTGCTCCTTGGTTTATCATGGTCTCACCTCCAAACCAGATCACAAGTGTGTGTTATCTGCCTGGTTCATGAATAAGGGACACCTGGAATAGGTCATCCTTAGTTTCCTTTCAACTCTGCCTTCACAATTTAATAACTCCTCTCCCCACCACCATAAAATCCTTCATCTTAAAGGCAAAGAAGGAGTGTGACACTGTGCATCTGTGATGGCCCTGACTCTACCACTCATTATGGCCTGGAAGATTTTACTGCTTTTGTGTGTTCTGACTCCATATGGGATCACATTCTCAGGGGCAGTGTCCAAAATGATCTGGATGTGACATACTTTGAACTAAGATCATAGATTTTGGGGCTACCATTTTATTGCCTGAGGGCCATTTTAGGCAGATCTGATCAAGGTAGTAATGATAGTAGTATTGATTATGCTATTAATAATATTGCCTATAATATTAAATGAAGAGTAATATTTTTCAATATTAACTAACATTATTGAACCCAGCCATGAGCCAGTCACCATAAGTGTAGCATCAGTATGGGGATGGTAGGCATCCTCATGTGCTCCCAAAAGAGCTAGTACAACATCTAAATGTGCTCCTATGATATACTAAAGAAGGGAAAAATAGGATGACTCGGAATGTGCCAAACCCTTGAAAAGAACACAAAAGTACAATGTGAAATGAAAGTCACAGTTCTATTTGTTCTGCAGTATTGTGAATATCACATTTTTACCTTCTAGATAAAAATGAAAAGCAAGTGTACAAGGAACAATGGTTTATGGAGCAACTCCCTGTTGCCCCCCAGAATGATGGTCCCCTTTCACTGCCTGAAACACCTCTGACACTTGCTTACCTGAGCATTTTACTTTTGGATCCTCTTAATATCACCACAAACCTACAAGTTAATGTTATAATATTCATCAAAAAGAGGAGAGTATGGAGACTTAGATTAAGTGACTTGCACATGCCACAGAGCTAAAATGTGGGTCATCCTGACTTTGCAACCCAAAGTCCATACTCTTTTTTTTTTTTTTTTTTAAGATAGTCTCTCTCTGTCACCCAGGCGGGAGTGCAGTGGTGCAATCTCATCTCACTGCAACCTCTGCCTCCTGAGTTCAAGCAATTCTCATGTCTCTCCTAAGTAGCTGGGACTGCAGGTGTGCACCACCACAAGTGGTTAATTTTTGTATTTTTAATAGAGATAGGATTTTGCCATGTTGGCTAGGCTGGTCTCAAATTCCTGGCCTCAAGTGATCCACCCACCTTGGCTTCCCAAATTGTTGGGGTTACAGGCATGAGCCACCGCTCCAGGTCTGAAGTCCATACTCCTGATCACAACCGCATTCTGCCACCACTACCATTGAAAGGGTTTGACTTCATGGTCTCGTGGAGTCCTTCCAACACAGTCTATGATCTAGGGTGGCGGAATGGCATAGTGGTGATAGCATGACTTCTTGCCTTATTTTCTACATCTGTAATGAGGATTAAGTATGAACCTGTCACTCTATTTTGCAATCAGTTAAACTCAAGTCATAATCATTATTAACATATGTATCCCCAGTGTTCATGAAACAATCACTACAAGGGCAAAGACTGTTTCTATTTTTCCCATCGATATTCCCAATGCCCAGAAAAATTCTTCACATTTAGTAGGCAATCAGTAAATGTTTGTTGAGTGAATGTATGTTTCTTTGATAAACAAATGAAAGATTTGGTAAAATGGAAGACCATGCTCCTCTAAAAGGAGGAATGGGTGCTTTTGAGATTTTCACTTTGACAAACAAGCTGACTACTGGAACTTACTGCAGTGCCATGTAAGCAGGGAAAAACGGCTTTATAAATCAGCACCATCAATCACACCAAATACCCTGTTTGGGGCCCCATTTCCAAGCTGTTGCTCTTACCTTGGACATGCTCCTGTGGCCTCTTGTGACCACGAGGGGGCACTGCATGTTTACTCACGCCAGGAGCTGAATTTATTCTGAACAATACCCACAGACAGTCTTTGTGTGGTCTTATTCCTTGGAGATGTCTTCGTGGTGCTTACCAGTGTGGAACAAGATTGCTTTCTAACTACCTGCATGGCAAATAAATTGTGTTCTTGTTAGTGTTGAATATTTAAATAAAATAGGATAAGAATCAAGTGCAGTATTTTTAGTAGGCTGAAACTCACATAACACCATGTAGTGGCGAGGCAGTAAGTGGCACACCTTCCCTATTTTACAACCTTTTCCTCAAGTCTTACTGGGGTGAAACCCGTCTATTCATGAAAGGCTAGCTCAGACTGTATTCCATGCCTAGGATATAAGCAGCACCCAACATAGGGAGTTATGATTTCCATTATTTTCACATAGACACTGGAAGGCTAGAACCTCAGGGGTATGGAGGGATCGTGGTGTATGTTTTGCTCCTGGTCCTGTGGCAGCAATTCCAGAGGCTTAGCTGCGGTTCCTATGCGCTGCCATGGCCCATCACTTGGACTCACGCAGCATGGTAGATGAGGAGACTCTCCTTGCTGGTGAAAAGTTGTCATCAGTTTGGAATTAACACTTAGTCACCTTGGGAATTATTTTGATTCCTTTCAAGAAAAGAAAATTTCACCTGTGTGGCCGAGGTGTTTTGGGAATTTACGTTCACAGGCAGTATTTTAAAGTGACGGCAAGTATTAGCCACAATATGAGATTATTAGGCCTGATGGACCAAGACTTCAGTTACAGCTGCTGGTGCATGTGAGAAATTGCTATGTGTGGCTACTAAGGCCTATTCAATTTGACTTCTCTGCCGTCTATCCATAGAGGTATCCATCCATATGTTTTTCTGCAAAATGTTTTTACTTTACATTCCAGCCATTTTCTGGCCTCCTAGAAACCCAGTTGTGTGGAAGTCAGTAAGGGCTACCCTACTATGCATTTACAAGGACACCTTTCTTACTGCCTTCAGTGTGAATGCCACCCCTTGAAACACAACTCTAACCAAAGTTACTGGACTCAGAGGTGATCCAAAGGTGAGGCCCTGGCTCAGAGTTTATTTTGCAAGATCCAGTCAAATGCATCTCAAATTGAGGCCCAGAAAATACTCATTTTAACAAACTTTCCAGATGATTGTGATGCTGGTGATTAACAGGCTCTTTTGATGACTCTTTTGGACTCTGATGGCTCTTTGTCTTTTCTAGAATATTCCTTTTAACAAGACAGGGGAATAAAGGTAGCAGACTAGACAGAAGTGCACTAGTAGTTATCGGTGCCAATTCTGCCTCGAGTACTGAGTTGGGCTTGTATGATTTGTTAATGTAACTTAATTGAATTTTACCCAGTGTTTCTCAGTTCACCTTTCAGGAGAAGAACCAGGATGCCATATAATCCTTTAATCCACTGGTCTCAAAGTTTAAAATGTCTATAACAGCCAGTCAGGCATCAAAAACATAGCTGACCAGTTTCTAGAGAATATTTGCACATCTATGGGACTCAAGACCCACTTTGGATGTTTTCATGTTTCTAGAGATGTTTTCAGTTTCTAGAAAATATATGCCTCCATTTATTTCCTGACTTGCTGAATTTTTCAAATAAAGCTAGAAAAAAAAATATGCCCAATTTCTTGGTTTGTAAAAAGTGTTGGTGACAAGCATAAATTTTATAAAAAGTAGAACATGGGATGAACAAAACCCCTCTGTGGGCCAGATCCAGAGTATAACTTGTCCATTTGTAATCCTGATCTAATTCTTGACAATCACTGTTTGTTTTGAGATGGAAGAGACCTTTGGTTATGTGGAGTAGTAGAAAGGATACCAAATATGTTGTCAGGGGACTTGATGTTAGTCTCGATTCTGCAAAACACTAGCTAGGAGACCTTGAGTAGTTCTCATCTCTCTGAGTATCAATATTGTACTGAAAAAAAAAAATGGGATTAATAGTACCTTCTTCACAGGACTAGTATAAGGCTAAAATGAAATACTATGTGTCAGTATATTCTATACTTCAGTAACTCAAAAACAACCTTCACTTTTTTTGCCACAGCCAGATAACACATCTACTATTATTTACTTAATATTTTTCTTTCTTTTCACTTTTAAAAAATCTGAAATATCTACATAGCTCTCAGTCAAAGTAATACTATTCATAGAAATAGGAGTTCAGGCTAGGGACATGTTTTTCCCCATCATATGATAAATTAAATATGAAACACATTCAAATAGTTTGGCTATATGCCACTTTATACTTCCACAATACTTTCATAAGATTAATACACTTATAAAATAAAATAGCAGATGAGTGGGTATAATTGCTTCAGTAGTAACTTTATGGCAAATGTTGATCATTACTTTTAATGAGGTAAAAATTGATTTTATATTTATGAAGTAGCTCTTAAACTAGGAGCTCTCAGTTTAATTTTTTCTCATTTTCAACTTGGGGCTTGCAATTCCTTTTCTGCTTTCTTTAATAAAAATCAGCATAGGGTAGGTAGGATCCAATAACCTAGGATGTATTTAATATCACAGCTTTTCCTTGATATTGATTTGTATATTTATAAACATTTCCATTTTTAGCATCTCATTTTAGTGTTAAGTCAATAAACAGTAATATCTTCAAATATATTTTTTTATTACATGGTTGATGGGTCTTTAGTATTCCAAGGTTGAAGTTAGATGATAAGGGAGTTAAGGTACCTGATACGGTTTGGCTGTGTCCCCACCCAAGTCTCACCTGAATTGTAATAATCCCCATGTGTCAAGGGTGGGGTCAGGTGGAGATAATTGAATCATGGTGGTGGTTTCCCCCATACTGTTCTCATGGTAGTAAATAAGTCTCATGAGATCTGATGGCTTTCTGAATGGGAGTTTCCCTGCACAAGTTATCTCTTGCTTCCCACCATGTAAGATGTGACTTTGCTCCTCCTCTGCTTTCCACCATGATTGTGAGGCCTCCCCAGCCACATGGAACTGGGAGTCCATTAAACCTCTTTTTCTCTATAAATTACCCAGTCTCTGGTATGTCTTTATCAGCAGTGTGAGAACAGACCAATAAAGTACCACACTTAGTTCCTAAGGCTGACTCTGTAGTTATTTACTCAACAAAAAACATATTGAGTATACAGCCTGGGCACTGGGAATACAGCAGAGAACAAAACGAAGTGTTAGTCCTTATGAAGTTTCAGTCTGGTGGGGGAAAATAAGTAATCAAAAATAATATATTTACTACATCAGCTGGTGATAAATGCTATGAAAACAAAAAGCAAAGGTGGAAAGAGACAGCAATAGGGTTGGTCCTATTTTATTAGAGCCTGAATAAGGTGAGAGAGTAAACCATGATGTTACCTAAAAGAAGTATGATCCAGCAAAAGAAAAATTAGGTATAAAGGCCTTGAGAAGGGTGCTAGGTGTGCTTGTGAAGTGGCAAAGAAGCCAGCATAGCTGATAGCTGGAAGAGATCAAGCAGGAAGGAGAGGGGCAGGTAATGGGGTCAAATAACATAGGCCTGTTTTTTTTTTTTTTTTTTTTTTTTTTTTAAACTGAGTAAGCGGGAAGCCTTTGGGGAATGTGAGTAAAGGAGTGACATGATCTGATATGATTTTGAGCTATCTGTCTAGCGATTATGTGAAAAAGAGACTTGAGAGGGATAAGTGTGGGAAAGGCAGACCAAAGACCGTTGTTATGCTGCCTTGAGAGAGCATGGTGGCTTGGACTAAAGTGATAGCCTTAGAGGTGAAAAAATGTTGTCAGATTCTGGACACATTTTAAAAGCAAAGTAGATGATACCCTCTGATGAAATAGATGTGGGATAAGAAAGCAAAGAGTCAAAGATAAACCTAAAGTTTTCAGAAACAGAGCATTGGGAAGAATCAAGTTTTGATTTACTGTAATTTTCACCTTTGCTAAGCCTTTCATGCTTTTTCCATACACAGGGCTGCCTTCACAGGGCACCCTGATATAACTTACTTCCCTGTATGGCAAAGGCTAGTTTAAATTCATGCTTTATTATGCAAATAATATGCTTTTGGCCAGTGATCACTGACCACTTTTGTTAGAGTGGCCAAAAGTATCAATTAAAGAGCTCAAGATAAACAGGGAATAATGCTTACTTTTCACCATTCTTCTCCTCTATTTGATTCTTTGTTTTAATGATGTATTACCTATACCTAAAACGATGAGCATTTCCCAAAAAGTTCATATCAAGTAAAATAATTCGACTTGAATTATTTCTCCCTTTCTTGTCTACTTTTTATTCCTATGAACCTAATCATCCACTATGTCCTGAACACCAATCAGTACTCTTCTCTTTTTCTTTCTCTAAATACTATGTATCTTTGCACTTTAAATACTATTAAAAGCTTACCAGTGGGTTTTCATCAACCCTAAGTTGTATTATCTCCTTTTACAGTTGAAAAAACTGAAGTTCAAAGACTTTACTTTAATTAATCAAGCTCACAAATCTCAGAAAATGTGGTACTGAAATTTGAAGGTACAAGGGTCTGACTTGCAGGGCCAGCTCTTACATGCTATGCTTTACTGCATCAATGTTCTGCTTTTGCTGTATGGCATTCACAATAATCACATTCCTCTTACTCTACTGATTCCACTAGCTTCCCAGTAGATTCTATTAAGATGTTGTCTTAAAGAAAAAGTGGAAATTTCTAAGTGGGGGACCTGTCTCCACCAGGAAGCCTTCCTTGAATGCCTCAGCTTTTCTATGAGTCTCATTTCTTCCTGAAATACTACAATATTGAAACATTCTCACTGGCATATCTAAAATATCAACTCCTTTGTGAAGCCTTCCAGACTATCACCATTGCAATGCCTCTCTCCTTCCTCCTCCTACAGTGCTAAACCATCTCTATTATGCCGCTTATTAGAGCCCACCTCCAGTAGCACTGGTCTTGTAGTACTAATAGTACTGTTGTTTGTTGGTGGTGTCAACTCTCCCATTGAGTTCCTTAAATGGGCACCATCTTTTTGTATTTTTCATAGCCCAGCATTGGTACTAAATATATTTAATTATTTGAGCATAAGAATCTACGTTTATTCTATGTGTTTCCCAGTGCCTAGCAATACAGTTAGATATAAAGTAGGAATTGAATATATCTTGAATGAGCAAAGGGAAAATAGAGAGTTTCTATTTGTCACATTACCTTCTAAAGAAAAAAAAATGTATAGTCAGTTTCTCTGGCCTTTGTATATTCATGAATTTCCCTTCATAAGGAAGGTTTATATTTTTGTCAAAAGAATTTCTCTAGGATGTACATGGAGCTTACTGAGGCTGAGCTTTCTCTTTCATGCAGCAAAGGCCAAGTCAGCAGGGAGACTCCTGCCACCCACCCCAGCCTACTCCAAACTTCATGCAATTTTTATTAGCCCTCTTCTAGCCAGCCAACCCAGTATTGCAGTTGCATAAAAATTCAACCCTCTGGCATCTGATGAATAAAATAACTCTGTGGCCAGATAGACTTGTGGCAGGGGAGGGATTCAAAAGACATCCAGCTCTGCATCTACTCAGATTTCCTCAGTGAGGCATCCTTCCCATTTCAGTGCCCATCAGTAATTAGCCCAATGCCATTTGCTCACCTAGAGTGTCTTTGCAGTGGGAGGCAGAAGGGCAGGATGACTGGAAATCAGGAGACCTGCTCTAATATTTACTAACTTTTCCACTTGTCTCAATATTTCTGATTCTGCAAAATGGGAATTAAAAATCGCTTCAAAAGCCACTGGGTTGTTTCTAGAATCAAATGAGAGAGGACGTATGAAAATGTTTTCTAATAGATAATTCTATTTATAAAATAACCTTAAAATGACCTGTCTTTGCAAGATGATCATTAGTAAAGTGAAGAAGAGGTGCTCAAATAAGAAAATGAAACACTTAGCACAGTCCTGGTACCTGGCAAATGCTCAGTATGGCTGAAGTAGTTGCTGCTTCTATCGGTTTTGTTGTTGTAACCTAGTTTCTTGACTTTACCCCTACCATGCTGATGATCCCATCTCTAAAATTAGTAATAATTATTAATTTTGGGTGTTTGCTAAATGTCAGAAACTATGATAACTGCTTTGAAAAGATTTTCTCATTTAGTGCTGGTATCAAATGTCCCCGTCTCCTCTTCCTCCTCCTATTCTTTTACAAATGAGGAAATTTGTGTTGAGAGAGGTTGCGAGTAACTTAGTTTATAAGTAATCTGACATCTGAACATGACAGTCTTAACTCCAGAGGCCTTACATTTATTGCTACAAATTATTGGCCATTGGTGTAATGTAACACTGTAAAAATAAATATAGTGAGGTATCTAGCTAAAGTAATTCTGGAATTTTATATTAATCATCTGCCTTTTGATCTGAGCAGTACACAAGACATCTTTAATTACCTTTGTAAATAAGGAAACTGAGAGAGGCCTAAAATTGATCAAGAAATTGTGCCATTTCACAAAATTTTAGAATCTTGGAGCTCATCTTGTTTAAACCTGTCATCTTATAGAGGAGATGTTTGTGGGGAAGAAAGCATCATCTATTCAGCATTATACGTTGAGCTAGTAATAACATCAAGGCTAAAATATATTCTCTTTTAACCATATTCAAGGACAAATTGACCAGGCATGGAAGCATTATCAATAGTTACATATCAGATCACATGAACTGATCTATACAGCTTTGGAATGAGTAAGATTTCTAATCTACTTTAACTCCTTGTTTGCATAGAAATATGGTGTTAGTTCAGGTCCTGAAGTAATTCATGCCATTATTTCTACTGTGAGCAACTTTAGATTGAATCAAAGGCAGCTATTGGAGGATTTACCAGGTTCTTTATTAACACCTGAAATGAAAAGTACAACGCAAATGGATCTTTTTACAAGGATACTTGAAGCAAATACGAGGCCAGTGGGGAAACTGATTTCCTCCTTAAGTTAGAGACACTAGAGGGAGGGGGTAGAGGCTCATTGACCTTAGTGTGTCTGACATTCTTGGGAGCGACAGAAGTGCTAAGCCTTTGTGATCTGACAATGGGTGCCAATATTTCATATGTAGTACAGAAACTATGATTTCTGGGATTATTTTTCTCCCTATTGAAACAAATAAGTATTGGAAAAGCACTTACTTTCACCAAAATCCTAAGCAACAATTCTTTCCTCATCTAACATTGTATGCTTTGCCAATGATAGTTTTGAAATCTATTTTTTCTTCTCTTTTCTTTCTCCCAGCAATGACACCCTAATAATGATGATGATACTTTAAAAAAAACACAGTAATAATGACTCATAAAAGCTCTCAGTCACTAGATAAAAAACAAGATGCCAAGTTTGAGGCTCTCTTGTGATTTGGAAGAAATTATTTTTTTGTCATTGACTTATGTACTTCATCAAACAGCTTGCTATATAACTTGGCGATGGTTCAGAGAGAGGTCTAATGCACATGAAATGTGGATGTTGAATCCAAAAATGCCACTGTATCTCTTAGTGGAAGAGAAAACTATATACTCAGGCTTGTGACAACTGTTAGACAAAGGATGCATAATAATACTTCTGGGGAGGACTTGTACACAGGCTATTGTGGATGAATAAGTGGAGCTGTCCGTGGAACTGGACAAAACCCAAGAATCTGTGCAAAGCCATCTGGAATATTTAGGCCTTCACAATGGGGGCAATCAGACTTCTTCTAAGAGGACTGATTGCTAGTCTTGTTAACAGGGAGGAGTTAGTGATCAATGTGTTTAATCACAGCCTGACAATAACTTCTAGTAAATAAGGACTTAAGGAAAAACATTTTAGACATGAATCAGTGTTCTATAGTGTTTGAAAAGTTTTGTGTCTTGCTTCTTCTTTTCAAATCTATCAACCCAGGCAGGCTTTTTTTTTTTTCTTTTTAATGTCTGTCTTTTTCTTCATAATAAAATCATATGGATAAAAGATACTGAAATCTGTAGAGCACAGGAATGTGACTTCATGGAAATGTGTGAGTGGAAATCTATAACACTGTAGGTGACTTTGGTTTGTGCTTATGTTTGGGCAAGAATAGGTAGTTGCTTATGTGTAGGTATTTTAACTCAATGAATAAAATTCCAGTGTTAGCAGTATCATCTTTGAGGGTGATTTGGAAATGTTCCAGGCACAGATTTAAATTATAGTGGAGCTAAACTGCAATAACACACATTCCCTGATGTCAGATTACAAAATAATATAAAGTATAACAGGTGACATATTATATAGAATAAACTAATTCCTTTATTGAGAGGTACAGACAGTTTAATAGGAATGTAAACCAGACAGAGAGAGAGAGAGAGATTATATATTTGGTAGAAAAACAAAAATGTGAGATGTAGAAAATGACATTTGAGATGGTCTTTGACAAGCAGACAAGATTTAAATTATCAGTAGTGGGTCATGTCAAGTATCATTTTTCCTATATAGTAATCTTTTATTTTAACTGTATAATCCTTCACGGTAGTATGACATACTAAAGAATTAAACTAAAGGATGCAAATTGGTGGTTTCAAAATTTTTCAACTAGTACAGATTTTTTGACTGAGCATTTTGTTACATATACTCTCATAGGTTTTTAAAAGCATTGCAATGAAATAGTGTTTCATTTAGTAATAGAACAAGTGCTTAGTACATATTTTTGTATACCCAGAAAGCATTGTGATAACTTTATTAACCTTCATACGCTTGAATTTATGACCTCTGCCCTAAATAGTAATGAGTTTATCAAATTTATTTCTTTTGGAGACAGGGCTAATGTGGGCAGAATGAGGAATGGGATGTTTTGTGGAAAACAGGAGGCATTAAAAGAAAGTACTTGGTTATGGAAAGGAGGGAATGAGACCCCTTTCTATGGAAGTCATTAGTTCCTCTTTTATAGATAGAAAATTGAAACCCAAGGATTTAATTAGAATCGCATAGTCAGCCAATGGCTAAACTTGGAAGTTGGTCAGTCAACCAGTCAACTTGTCACATGTTGTTTTTCTTTTTTCTTTTTCTTTTTTTTTTTTTTTTGAGAGAAAGTCTTGCTCTTGTCACCCAGGCAGGAGTGCGCTGGCATGATCTCAGCTCACTGCAACCTCCGACCCCTGGGTTCAAGTGATTCTCTTGCCTCAGTCTCCCAAGTAGCTGGGATTACAGGCACAGGCCACCATGCCTTGCTAATTTTTGTATTTTTAGTAGAGACGGGGTTTCACCCTGTTGGCCAGGCTCGTCTCAAACTCCTGACCTCGGGTGATCCTCCCGCCTTGGCCTTCCAAAGTGCTGGTATTACAGGCGTGAGCCACCACACCCAGCCCATGTTGTTTTACTTACACCCTAATAGAAGCTGTTTTCAAAGACAACTGCCTTCTAAATTTGAATGTTCACATACAGCTCATCCTGACAGGTTGACTTACAGGGACATCTCAGTCTTAGGGCAAAAATGATAATGATATTGATGATGATGGTGATAGCTTGAACCAAGCAAGCCATAGAAAAATGGGATCTGGATCAGTGAAAAAGGATACAGATTTAAAAGCATTAGCAAGTTCATAGATTTCTAGTTGTTTAGTTGAATGAAGCACTAGGTAGTCTATTAAATTATTTATTCTGGTAATACCTTAATATCTCCTGTTGAAATATACAGAAATATATTTTAATTATTTTTTTTTCTGAGAGAGAAAAATGTCCTAACTACCTGGCTGTTATTTGTGTTTTTCCTCTGACTACCAATGTCTTTATTGTTTATCCTTTTTGCAGCAGGAATTTATAATGGATAAGAACATTTGGGTATAGGGGAAAATGCTGACATTGGAGATGAATCATTGAGTAAATTGACACAAATTTATTGTGACTGCAGGTCAGTGTGCTGACATCAATTCTCCCAAGCAAAATTGTTTTATCAAAATACAAATTAATGAAGAAAAATTTTCTATTTTCTTTCCTTTGAAGAAATTATTCTTGGTCCTTCTTATATAGAGTGCCGAATATTTCTGAAAGTAATTATTCCTTAGGAAAATAAGCTTTGGATAACTTCATGAGTTGTAAAAAAAATGCTAATGAAGAATATCTGATTTTCTGGCTACAAGTAAGGCATTTTCCTTTTGTGAGACTGTGATGTTCAGAGTGGACTAAAGCATGCACAGTTTGAGTTTAATAGCACTTAGATACATTTGCATAATATTTTATGTCAGTGGTTGTCAAACTTTATAGTGTATCAGAATAACCAAGATGGCATGTTAAAATGATATTGCAAACTGCCAGCCCCTGCACCTCTCCCCCGGCATTTCTGATTCAGTAAGTCAGGGGTGGAGCATGAGAATTTTCATTTCTATTAAGTTCTCAGGTTGTGCTAATGGTACTGACTTAAGGACTACATGTTGAGAAAATGTTTTACACTGTGCTTTAAAAATTTATTTCATAGTAATCATCAGGTTTGTTTATCAGATAAGCTTCATAAAATAGGAAAGGCTGGCAAAATTTATTGTATGTTATGCATGGTAAAAGGGGATGCTGAACTAATTTGCCAAAGTTTGTATGGTAAATCAGTGTTGAAAAACATACTGAAATCCATCTTCTAACCCGTAAAGTTGGCTTTAATGATGCAAAATCTTTTTTAAATGAGGCCCACTTGATGAGGCTAAGAAACAGACAGGGTATGAGATGATCTTTATTGGCAAGTAGATAAGATATAAATTATATAGGGAGTCTTTTGCCCTGTGATATGGTTTGGCTATGTCCCTGCCCAAATCTCACCTTGAATTTTAGCTCCCATAATTCCCATATGGTGTGGGAGGAATCCGGTGGGAGGTATTGAATCACGTGGACAAGTCTTCCCCGTGCTGTTCTTGTGTTAATGGATAAGTCTCATGAGATCTGATGGTTTTATAAAGGAGATTTCCCCTACACAAGCTCTCTGGCCTGCTGCCATGTGAGATGTGACTTTGCTCCTCATTCACCTTCTGCCATGATTGTGAGGCCTCCCCAGCCACGTGGAACTGTGAGTCAGTTAAACTTCTTTTCTTTATAAATTACCCAGTCTCAGGTATGTCTTTATTAGCAGCATGAGAACAGACTAATACAGTAAATTGTTACCAGTAGAGTGGGGTGCTGCTGTAAAGATACCTGAAAATGTGGAAGTGACTTTGGAACTGGGTAACAGGCAGAGGTTGGAGCAATTTGAAAGGCTCAGAAGAAGACAGGAAGATGTGCAAAAGTTTGGAACTTTCTAGAGACTTGTTGAATGGCTTCGACCAAAATGTTGATAGTGATATGGACAATGAAGTCCAGGGTGAGATGGTCTCAGATGGAGATGAGGAACTTGTTGGGAACTGGAGTAAAGATCTCTCTTGCTATGCATAGAGACTGGTGGCAATTTGCCCCTACCCCAGAGATCTGTGGAACTTTTAACTTGAGGGAAATGATTTAGGGTATCTGGCAGAAGAAATTCCTAAGCAGCAAAGCTTTTAAGAGCTAGCAGAGCATAACCGTTTAGAAAATTTGCAGCCTGAACTAGAAATACCATTTGACCCAGCCATCCCATTACTGGATATATACCCAAAGGATTATAAATCATGCTGCTATAAAGACACATGCACACATATGTTTATTGTGGCACTATTCACAATAGCAAAGACTTGGAACCAACCCAAATGTCCATCAATGATAGACTCGATTAAGAAAATGTGGCACACATACACCATGGAATACTATGCAGCCATAAAAAAGGATGAGTTCATGTCCCTTGTAGGGACATGGATGAAGCTGGAAACCATCATTCTGAGCAAACTATTGCAAGGGCAGAAAACCAAACACCACATGTTCTCACTCATAGGTGGGAATTGAACAATGAGAACACTTGGACACAGGATGGGGAACATCACACACCCGGGCCTGTTGTGGGGTGGGGGAGGGGGGAGGGATAGCTTTAGGAGATACACCTAATGTAAATGAGGAGTTAGTGGGTGCAGCACACCAGCATGGCACATGTATACATATGTAACAAACCTGCACGTTGTGCACATGTACCCTAGAACTTAAAGTATAATAATAATAAAAAATAATAAAAAAGAAAATTTGCAGCCTGATGATGCAATAGAAAAGAAACCCCATATTTTGAAGAGAAATTCAAGCTGGCTGCAGAAATTTGCGTAAGTAACAAGAAGCCAAATGTTAATCACCAAGACATTGGAAAAAATATCTCTAGGGCATGTTAGAGACTTTCATGGCAGGACCACCCATCACAGGCCTGTAGGCCTAGTAGGAAAAAATAACCATTTCATGTGCCTGGGCCAGGGCGCCCCTGCTACACAGCCTAGGGACTTGGTGCCTGCAACCCAGCTGCTCCAGCCATGGCTAAAAGGGGCCAAAATATAGCTTGGACCATGGCTTCAGAGGGTGCAAGCCCCAAGCCTTGGCAGCTCCCACGTGGTGTTGGTCCTGTGGGTGCACAGAAGCCAAAAATTGATGTTTGGGAACCTTCACTTATATTTCAGAGGATGTATGGAAATGCCTGGATGTCCAGGCATAAGTTTGCTGCAGGAGTGGGGCCTTCATAAGAACCTCTGATAGGGCAGTGCATAAGGGAAATGTGGGGTTGGAGACCCCCCACACAGTCCACACTGGGGTACTGCCTAGTGGAGCTGTGAGAAGAGGGCCACCATCTTCCAGACCCCAGAATGGTAGATCCACTGACAGCTCACACTGTGCACCTGGAAAAGCCACAGACACTCAATGACAGCCCATGAAAGCAACCAGGAGGGGAGCTGTACCCTGCAAAGTCACAGGGGTGGAGCTGCTTTGGGAGCCCACCTCTTGCATCAACCTGACCTGGATATGAGATATGGATTCAAAGGAGATTATTTTGGAGCTTTAAGATTTGACTGCCCCACTGGATTTCAGACTTGCATAAGGTCTGTAGCACCTTCGTTTTGGCCAATTTAAGTGTATTTACCCAATGCCTATAGCCCCATTGTATCTAGGAAGTAACTAACTTGCTTTTGATTTTACAGGCTCATAGGCAGAAAGGATTTTCCTTGTCTCAGATGAGACTTTGGACTGTGGACTTTTGAGTTAATGCTAAAATGAGTTAAGACTTTGGGGGACTGTTGGGAAGGCATGATTGGTTTTGAAATGTGAAGACATGAGATTTGGGAAGGGCCAGGGATGGAATGATATGGTTTGGCTGTGTCCCCACGCAAATCTTATCTTAAACAGTATCTCCCATAATTCTCATGTGTCATGGGAGGGACCCGGTGGGAGGTAATTAAATCATGAGAACAAATGTTTCCCATGTTATTCCATTGATAATGAATAAGTTTCACAAGATCTGATGATTTTATAAAGGGGAGTTCCCCTACACAAGCTCTCTTGCCTGCTGCCATGTAAGATGTAACTTTGCTCCTCATTCGCATTGTCATGATTGTGAGGCCTCCCCAGCCATGTGGAACTATGAGTCAATGAACCCTCTTTCCTTTATAAAGTATCCAGTCTCAGATATGTCTTTATTAGCAGCATGAGGACAGACTAATACACCAGCATTCAAGGTTTTCTTGACCTATCTCAGTCTTTTTGTTTCATCTCCAAATTATCTCTATTCTAGGCTCAAACTGGGCATTCCTTAAATAGTCAGATGATTTTCAGCTTTCAAATAGGAAGATACCCAAAGTATTTCCTCCATCTCTTCTCAATAAAATTGTATCTCAGAATTCAGTTAATATGCTACCTCTTCCATAGAACTTCCCATGTCTTTTCTAGCCTTACCCCCTTGTTCACATAGTAAGTGCTATGTAAGTCTTTACTAAATAAGTGAATAAAAGCACAGCATTGTGGAAGAAAAATATTAAGCTTTTATTTGATTTGAGGGGAGGTACACAGACAAGTGGGAGAAGCACATGGTAAGTTTTCCATATTTGATAGCCCTTTGCTTGTCATTTATTTTCTATTTTTGTGTTTAATTTTTAATACAACATAAAATTTACCTTTATTATGTGTATAGTTCTATGAGCCTATGTTTAGATTCATGTAACTATTGCCAAAATCAGGATATATAACAGTACTATTACATTATAAAATGACCTCATATTATCCCTTTGTACTCACACCTTCCCTAAACTCCTAATCCCTGGCAACCACTGATCTATTCTGTGTCATTATAATTTAGTCTTTATAAGAATGATATACAAATGAAATTGTATACAATATAAGCTTTTGAGACTGGCTTCTTTCATTCAGTATAGCTTTGAGATTCATTTAATTTGTTGCCTATATCAATAGTTTTATTTTTTATTTTTGTTTTTTTTTTTTAAAAAATAGTAGTACTCCATTGTATGGATGAAACAGAGTTTATTCACCTACTGAAGAACATTTGGATTTTTTATTCTTTGTTGATTGTGAATAGAGCTCCTATAAACATTTGTGTAGAGATTTGTTTTTGTGAATGTAAGTTTTCATTTCTCTAGAGTAAATATCCAGGAGTGGGATTTATGGGACATATGGTAAATGTATGTTCAACTTAAGAAACTGAAAAATGGATTTCAAGTGACTGTATTATTTTTCATCTTCACCAAAAATATATGAGAATTGTGGTTGTTTGCCATCCTCATCAGCATTTGGTTTTCTTAGTATTTTTAATTTTAACCATTCTAGTAGACATGAAGTGATATCTCATTGTAGTTTTAACTTGTGTTTCCATAATAGCTATCAGTCTTTTGTGTGCATATTTGTCATCCAAATATCCTCTTTGTGAAATATCCATTATTTTGATATTTGACCATCTTTTCAGATTTGGGGTCTCTTCCTGTTGCCTAGGCTGGAGTGCAGAGGTGAGATCATGACTCACTAAAACGTCAAACTCTTAGGCTCAAGTGATTCTCCCATGTCAGACTTCTGAATAGCTGGGATTACAGATGCTAGTCATCACGCCCAGCTAACTTTTTTAGTTTTGTAGATATGGGGTCTTACTATGTTGCCCGGGCTGGTCTTGAACTTCTGGCCTCAAGAAATCCTGCCTCCTCACCCTCCAAAAGTGCTGGGATTGCAGGCATGAGCCACCACACCTGGCTGACCGATTGGGCTGTTTGTTTTCTTACTGTTGAGTTTAGAAAGTTCTCAGTATATTCTGTATTTAAGTTGTTAGATGTGTAATTTGCAATTGTTACCTCTCAGCTTAATCTTCTCATAGTGCCCTATGCAGAACAGAAATTGTTAATTTTTATGAAGTACAATTTGTCCATATTTTCTTCTATGAATCATGCATCTAAAGTTGTACAGTAATTCTTTGCTAAGAAAGGAGATTAATGGATGCCTAGAGCTAAATGGTGAGGAGGAATGGGAAGGGTTGCAAATAGGTATAAAGTTTTTTATGCTGGTGAAAATGTCCTAAAATTAGATTGTAGAAAGAGTTTCAAACTCTGTGAACATATTAAAGTTCTTCAAATTGTGTACCATGGGTGAATTTTATGTAAATAATATATCACAAATTTATATATTATAGTTCTATAAAACTAATTAACTTACAATCAGTGATTACTAATATATCAATATTATTTGATTTAAAAATAATTCATTCAATTATATAAATAACATTATTTTTAAAAATAACTCTGTCTCATCCAAGATGATGAAGATTTTCTCCTATGTTTTCTTCTGAAAGAAAAATAGTTTTATATTGTACACTTAGACCTATAATCCATTTTGGTTAATTTTTATATAAGATGTAAGATTTAAGTCAAGGTTTTTTTTTTTTTTTTTTTTTTTTTTTTGGTAAATGGCTGCCCAGTTGCTTTAACATTATTCATTGAAAAAAACGCATCTTTCATTGATTTGCCCATGCACCTTTGTCAAGAATCAGCCATATTTGTGCTGACATGCTTCTGGATTGTTTATTTTGTTCTATTGGTCTATACTTTTGTCAATACCATGCTGTCTTGATTACTGTAGCTCCATAAGCTTAAAATCTGCTAGTGTGACTTCTCTGACTTTATTTTTTTAATTCATATTTATTTTGGCTGTCTTTATTGCTGTATCTTTTCATGTAAACTTTAAAATAAGCTTCCCTATATCTATAGACAATTCTGCTGAGATTTATTTGGAATTGTGTTGTCTATAGGTCAATTTGGGGAAAACTAACATCTATATAGGATGTCTTCCAATCCATAAACATGCTATCTTTCTCCATTTACCTAGATTTTCTTTGATTTATCAGCATTTTGTAGTTTTCAGCATACAGCTATTGCACATGTTTTATTATATTTTACATAAGTATATTATTATTTTGGAACTTTGATGCATTAAAAAGTTCTGTTTTCAATTGCTCATTCTTAATATGTAGAAATACTATTGATTTTTGTGTGTTGACCTTGTGTCGTGTGACCTAGCTAAAATCAATTATTACTTCTTAGAAATTATTATGGATGCTTAGAATTTTCTCAATTATCTTCCTTTACAATGTACATTACTTTTATTTCTTATTCTTAGCTTATTTCACTGACTAAGACTTCTAGGATGATGTTGAAGAGAAGTGGTGAGAGTAGATATCCTTGCTATATTCCCAATCTGAGGGGGAGAACATTCTGTGTTTTACCATTATATATTAGGGTAGTGGTAGGCTTTACAATTTTTTTATTTTTATTTTTTAAACCTTCTGTTAGGATGAGGAAGTTTTCTTCTATTTTTACTTTGCTTAGACTGTTAGCATGAATGGATGATGATTTTTTAAATGATTGTTCTGTCAATTTTGTTATCCTATAGGTTTTTTTCCCTTTGGACTGTTGATATAGTAGATTACATTGAATTATTTTCAAATATTGCAACAAAAGTGCATTCCTGTGACAAGGCCCACTTACTTGTGGTGCACCGTTCTTTTTATATATTATTGAGTTGGCTTTGTTAATATTTGGTGCAGGATTTTCATGTGTATGTTCATCAGAATTATTGGTTTTTAATTTTCTTTTCCTGGACTGTCATTGTCTGTAGTTAATATTAAGGCAATGCAGATCCTACAGGATAAATGGAAAAGTGGTAGCCTTATCTTCAGTTTTCCAGAAATAATATGTAAAATTGATATTATCTGCTCTTTTAATATTTGGTAAATTCACCAGTGAAACCATTTGGGCCTGGGAATTTTTTTCTAAAGAGTTTCAACTATGAATTCATTTAAAAAAGTAGTTATAAAGCTATACAGGTTATCTGTTTCATTTATTTGGTAATTCATGTTTTCTGAGGAATGGGTCAATTTTATTTACATTTTTGAATTTATGTGTATAGAGCTGTTTGTATTATTTCCTTATTTTATTTTAATGTCTTTTGTCTGTACTGCTATTTCCTCTTTGATTCCAAATAATTTGTAAACTAACTTTTAGTGTCATTTATTTTCTCTTTGTTTTATGTTTCATTGACTTTGCTCTTACCTTTATTATTTCCTCCTTTAGGCTTACTCTTAATTTTTTTAATTTTTTTTATTTCCTTAAATAGAAGTTTGGATTTCTGGTTTGAGACCATTTGCCTTTTCCAGTGTAAGCATTTAATGCTATACACTTAACTCTTAGCACAGCTTTAGCTGAATTGCATAAATTTTGCAAAATCATACTTTCATTTTTGAGAGTATGGTAAGTTCCCACTTACCAATGTTTGTTCACAATATTTTCTAATTTCCTTGGAGACTGATTCATGAAGTATTTACAAGTATATTATTATTTTTTTTAAATTATACTTTAAGTTCTGGGGTACATGTGCACAACGTGCAGGTTTCATTTCTAAGTGGATATTTTTCTGTTATTGTTCAGTAATTTAATACTAGTTTATTTCTATTATAGTCATAGAAAATGTTTCATATGATTTTAATTCTTTTAATTTGCTAAGCCTGAGATATGTCTATTTTGATGAATGTTCTGTGTATACTTGAAAAGAATGTGTTCTGCTGCTTTTGGATAAAGAGTTTCAAAGTTGCAGTGAGATTCATTCAATTGACTAATGATGTTGTCCAATTCTTCTGTATTCTAACAAATTACAGTCTATTAGTTCTATTGCTAAGAGAAAACTGTTGATATCTCCAACAATAATTGCAAATCTGTCTGTTTTTTCAGTTGTATGAGTTTTTGCTTCATGTCTTTTAAAGTTCTATTATTGAGTGTGTATGTAATTAGGATTGTTATTTCTTGCTGATTAGTAGCCCTGTTATCATTATGTAATGGTCCTCTTTTTTCCTGTTAATTTGCTTTGCTCTGATGTTTAATTTATTTGATACTAATATAACCTCTCTAGCCTGCTTTTAATGTTTGTGCAGTATATGTATTTTTCATCCGTTTGATTTTAACTTTTCTATGTCATTATATTTGAAGTACGTTTTTTGTAGATATAGTAATTCTTTTATATACATTCTGACAATCATTGATTTTTCTTCTTTTTAAAAAAATTTCTAACTTTTAGGTTCAATGGGTACATATGCAGGTTTGTTATATAGGCTAATTGTGCATTGCAGAGGTTCGGTATACAGATAATTTTGTTACCCAGGTAATTAGCATAGTGCCCAATACATGGTTTGTCAATCCTCACCCTCCTCCTACCCTCTATCTTTGAGTTGGCTCCAGTGTCTACTGTTCTCTTCTTTGTGTCCATGTGTACTCTGTTTAGCTCCCACTTATAAATGAGAACATGAAGCATTTGGTTTTATGTTCCTGTGTTAATTTGCTTAGAAAAATGGTCTCCAGCCCATCCATGTTGCTGAAAAGACCATGATCTTATTTTTTTATAGCTGCATAGTATTCCATGGTATGTATGTACCACATTTTCTTTATCTAGTTCACCATTGATGGACATTTAGGTTAATTCGATGTCTTTGCTATTGTGAATAGCATGTGTATGTTGCAGTGAACATACACATGCATGTGTCTTTATGGGAGAATGATTTATATTCCTTCAGGTATATACTCATTAGTAGAATTGCTGGATTGAATGGCAGTTCTATTTTAACTTCTTCAAGAAATATCAGACTGCTTTCCACAGTGGCTGAACTAACTTAAATTACCACTTAGCAGTGTATAAGCATTCCCTTTTCTCTGCAACCTTGCCAGCATTTGTTATTTTTTGACTTCTTAATAATAACCATTATGACTGGTGTGAGACAGTATCACATTGTGGTTTTGATTTGCGTTTCCCTAATGACTGATATTGAACATTTTGTTTTCATACACATGTTGACCACATGCATGTCATCTTTTGAGAAGTGTCTGTTCATGTCTTTTACTGATTTTTCCATGGGGTTATTTGTTTTTTGTTTGTTGATTTGTTTGAATTCCTTATAGATTCTGGATATTGGACCTTTGTCAGATGCATAGTTTGCAAATATTTTCTCCTATTTTGTAGGTTATCTGTTTGCTCTTTTGATAGTTTCTTTTGCTGTGCAGAAGCTCTTTAATTAGGTCCCACTTATCAATTTTTGTTTTTGTTGCAATTGCTTCTAGAGTCTTTGTCATGATGTCATTGTCTGAGCCAATGTCCAGAATGGTATTTCCTAGATTTTCTTCTAGAGTTTTTATGGTTTTATGTTTTACATTTAAGCCTTTAATTCATCTTGAGTTGATTTTTGCATATTATAAAAAGTAGGGATCCAGTTTCATTCTTCTACATGTGGCTAGCCAGTTATCCCAGCAGCATTTATTGAATAGGGAGTCCTTTTTCCATTGCTTGTTTTTGTTGACTTTGTCAAAAATCAGATGGTTTTAGATATGCAGCTTCATTTCTGGGTTCTGTAAGCTGTTGCATTGGTCTATGTGTCTGTTTTGTACCATGTTGTTTTAGTTACTGTAGTCTTGTAGTATGGTTTGCAGTTGGGTACTGTGATGCCTCCAGCTTTCTTTTTGCTTAGGATTGCTTTTGCTATTTGGACTCTTTTTTGGTTCCCTGTGAATTTTAGATGGTTTTTTCTAAATCCAAAAAATATCATTGGTAGTTTGATAAGAATAGCATTGAATCTATATGTTGCTTTGGGCAGTATGGCTGTTTAACAATATTGATTCTTCCTATCCATAAGCATGGAATGTTTTTTCATTTGTTAGTGTCATCTCTGATTTCTTTCAGCAGTGTTTTGTAATTCTCATTCTGTAGAGGTCTTTCACCTCCCTGGTTAGCTGTATTTTTAGGTATTTTATTCTTTTTTTGACTATTGTAAATGGGATTCCATTCTTGATTTGGCTCTCAGCTTGGACGTTGTTGGTGTATAGGAATGCTACTGATTTTTGTACTTTGATTTTGTATACTGGAACTTTGCAAAGTTGTTTATCAGTTCTAGGAGCTCTTGGGCAGAGACTATGGAGTTTACTAGGTATAGAAACATATCATCGCAAACAGTTTGACTTCCTCTCTTCCTATTTGGATGTCTTTTATTTCTTTCTCTTGCCTAATTGCTCTGTCTGGGATTCCCAATATTATGTTGACTAGGAATGGTGAGAGGCAGCATCCTAGTCTTGTTTTGGATCTCAAGGGGAACGCTCCCAGCTTTTGCTTGTTCAGTGTGATGTTGGCTATGGGTTTGTCATAGTTGGCCCTTATTATTTTGAGATATGTTCCTTTAATGCCTAGTTTGTTGAGGGTTTTTAACAAGAGATACTGAATTTTATCAAAATCCTTTTCCATGTCTATTGAGATGATCATGTGATTTCTGTGTTTAGTTTGGTTTATGTGGTAAATTACATTTATTGATTTGTGTATGTTGAGCCAAACTTGCATCCCATGAATAAAGCCTACTTGATTGTGGCTGACTAGTTTTTTGATTTGTTACTATATTTGGTTTGTTAGTATTTTGTTGGGGACTTTTGCATGTATGTTCATCAGGGATATTGGCCTGAAATTTTCTTTTTTTGTTTTGTCCCTGGCAGGTTTTGGTGTGAGAATGATACTAGCCTCATAGAATGAGTTAGGGAGGAATCCTTCCTTATCAATTTTTTATGAGGGTTTCAAAAGAATCAGCACCAGTGCTTCTCTATTTTTTTATTACTATTTTTTAGACAGGGCCTTACTCTGAAACCCAGGCTCAAGTACAGTGGCATGAACATGGTTCACTGCAGCCTTGGCCTTCTGGGCTCAAGCCATCCTCCCACTTCAGCCTCCCTAGTGGCTGGAACAACAGCCACGTACCACTAGACCTGGATATTTTTTAAATTATATTTTTGTAGAGATACGGTATTGCCATATTGCTCAGGCTGGTCTCAAACTCTAGGGCTCAAGTGATCCTCCTCACTCAGCCTCCCAAAGTGCTAAGATTACAAGCGTGAGCCACCCAGCTCTTCTTGATACAAGTGGTAGAATTTGGCTTTGAATCCATTTTATCCAGGGCTTTTTCTGGTTGGTAGCCTTTTCTTTTTCTTTTCTTTTCGTCTTTTTGTGTGTGTGTGTGACAGAGTCTTACTCTGTTGCCCAGACTGGAGTGGAATGGCACTGTCTTGACTCACTGCAACCTCCCCTTCCTGGGTTAATGCAATTCTTCTGCCTCAGCCTCCCGAATAGCTGGGATTACAGGCACCTGCCATCATGCCCTGCTAAGTTTTGTATTTTTGTAGAGACGGGGTTTCACCATGTTGGTCAGGCTGGTCTTGAATTCCTGATCTCAGGTGATCTGCCCACCTCAGCCTCCCAAGGTGCTGGGATTACAGATGTGAGCCACTGTGCCCGACCATAGCCTTTTCATTACTGGTTCAATTTTGGAATTTGTTACTGATCTGTTCTGGATTTCCTTTTCTTCCTGGTTGAAGCTTGAAAGGTTGTATGTTTGCAGGAATTTATCCATTTATTCTAGATTTTCTAGTTTGCATGCATGGAAATATTCATAATAGTCTCTGAGGGTTTTTGTGTTTTTTTTGTATTTCTGTGGGTGTCCTGACATGTGAGATGGGTCTCTTGAAGACAGCATACAGGTGAGTCTTTGTTCCATGTCCAATAGTCACTCTGTGCCTTTTGAATGGGGTGTTTAACCTGTTTACTTTCAAGGTTAATATTGATATGTTTTGATTCGATCCTGCCATTGTGTTGTTAGCTAATTGTTATGTAGAATTTATTGTGTATTTGCTTTATAGTGTTGATGGTCTATGTACTGGAGTGTGTTTTTGTGGTGGTTGGTAACAGTCTTTGATTTCCATACTTAGCACTCCCTTAAGGACCTCTTGTAAGGAATGCCTGGTGGTAATGAAGTCCCTTAGCATTTGCTTGCCTGAAAATGAATTTATTTCTCCTTCTCTTATGGAGCTTAGTTTGGCTGGATATGAAATTCATGGTTGAAATTTCTTTTGTTAAGGATGCTGAATATAGGCCCTCAATCTCCTCTGGCTTATAAGGTTTCTGCTGAAAGGTCAGAGTGGGGTTCTGTTAGCATGATGGGCTTCCCTTTGTAGGGTGACCTGCCCCTTCTCTCTGGCGGCCTTTAATATTTTTTCTTTAATATTAACCTTGGAGAATCTCATAACTATTTTTCCCAGGGATAGTTGTCTTGTATCTCACAGGAGTTCTCTGAATTTTCTGAGTTTTTATGTTAACCTCTCTAGTGAGGTTGGGAAAATTTTCATGGACAGTATCCTCAAATATATTTTCTAAGTTGCATGCTCTCTCTCCCTCTCTTTCAGGAACACCAATGAGTCATAGATTTGGTTTCTTTACATAATCCCATATGTCTTGGAGGTCTTTTTCATTTTTAAAAATTATTTTTTCTCTATTTTTGTCTGAGTTAATTTGAAGAACTGGTCCTTGAGCTCTGAGATTCTTTTCTCAGCTTTTTCTATTCTGCTGTTGATACTTTCAATTGTGTTATAAAATTCTTGTGAATTCTTTTTGGCTCTATCTTCTTGGTTTGGTTCTTTTTTAAAATGGCTATTTCGTGTTTCATTTTTTGAATTATTTTACTGGATCCTTTAGATTATTTGGAATAGATTTTAATTTCTCCTGAATCTCAGTGGTCTTTGATGTCATCAGATTCTGAATTCTATCTCTGCCATTTCAGTTATTTCCTTCTGGTTAAGAACCACTGTTGGGGAGCTAGTGCAGTCGTTTGAAGGAAAGGAGATACTCTGGCTTTTAGTATTGTCAGAGTTCTTCTGCTGGTTCATTGGCATCTGTGTGGGCTGATGTTCCTTTACCTGTGGTGTCATTTGAGTATAGTCAGTTGACTTCTTTTCTGGATGTTTGTAGAGGGCTGAGGCTTTGTGCAGGGTCTTTATTTGTGACTAAATTCTTGTCCTTGGTTTAACAGGGGGACATAGCAGAGTATTTTTGGTTTTGAAGTTTGGGCTGTGATGCAGTAGATGGCATTTACATGTAATGGATAGTAGGTAGGCTGTTGCTCAGCCACAAGGCTCCTCTGTGTGTCTTTGTGTTTATGGTCATGCTCTCTCTCCATGCTCTGTGTATGGGCTCCTCTCCCACTTGAGTGCTAGCTGCACATCTTGGCTTGGCACTTCCAGGCTGCATACAGAAGCCCTGGGGCAAACTCAGGCTTTATGTTTCCTCTTCAGCTTGGGGACAGCAGGGGTGGGAACCTTGGCAGTGGCAATGACAGAGGACCTTTCACTTGTCTCTTGGCACTCCGCCCCAGAGAACCACCGCCAATTGGAACAATCTGCTTGGGGTTGGGTGGCTGCATTGTGGGCCCAAGCCAGGGGTCCAGCCTGATGATAAGCAGAGGAAGGTGGGGGGCTTGCAGCGGCTCAGAGGGAAGACAGACTGGCCTTTTTTTCCCACAGGGCACCTGCAGCATGCTGGAGATGCCAGTAAAGCACTGAGGGTCTTTGTTCCTTCCCCAGTCCAAGGGCAGCAAGGGCAGTTCCACTGCAGTGGCAGAGGCCTTTCAGTTGCCTCTGGGAGCTCCATCTCGGAGAAACACAAAGCTGCTGCCAATGGGAATGTTCAGTCCTGGGTGGGGTGGCTGTGCTGTGGATGGAGCTGGGGGCCCTGCTTGGTGAAGCGTAGTGGGTGGGGGCTCACAGGGAAGAGAGACTCAGCTCCTCTCTTTATGGCAGCTGTGGCATATTAGAGGTGTCAGTGAAGTGGTCAGGCCCTTAGTTCCTTCCCCAGCCCAAGAGCAGTATGGATGGTACTTCTGCAGCTGCAGTGGCAGAGGGGCTGTGGATTGACTCTGGGCTTTTTTCCCTAGAGAAAGGCAGAGCTACCACTGACTGAAGTGTGTAGACAAGGGTAAGGCAGCTGTGCTGGGGGCCCAAGTTGAGAGGCCCTGGGCAGTGAGGAGTAACAGGGGCAGGGACTCGTGTGGAAAACAGTCTGACTGCATTTTGGAAGGCATCTGTGCTGTCCTGGAGGCTGGTAATAGTCCATAAATTCTTCGCTACCCACCAATCCTGAGGGCAGTGGGGTGGGAGAGAAGAGAAGGGCAAAAATGGCAGGCCTGTCTTTTACCTCTGAGCTCTGTCCCTGGGAAATGCAAAGCTTCTATTGGCCCCAGAGCTAAGTAAAGGATGGGATGTCTGTGCTGGGATACAAGGTTGGGTGGCCCTGCACAGTGAAGATTAGAAGGGGTAGGAACTCAGCAATCACTGATTTTCAACTGCTGTGATTAAGCCTTTAAACATACTACAATTATTAACATATTTGGATTTAGGTCTTTTATTTTCTTATATGTTTCCTGTTTCCCATTTATTTGGTTTCTCTCTACTCCCTTCCTTATCTTTCTTTCATATTGAATATTTAAAAAAATTCTACTTTATTTACTTTATTTTAAAACTATCTCATCCTATCATTTTGATAATTGTTTCTCTAGGAATTACAAATATAAATGCTTAATTCTTTTATTTAGAATCAGTATTTTACCATCTCAAGCGTAATGTTCAAACCTTACACTTTGATATAAGTTTCTTTTATGTTGTGGTTTTCTTATATATTGCATATATATCCATTGGGAACCCTATTAGACAATATTATAATAATTTTTACTTTCAATAGTCAACTATATTTACTAAAACAGGTGGTAGACTAGATTTGGCACATTGACTATAGTTTGCCAATCCCTTTTCTATAAATTGGATTGTAATGGAGGAAAAAAGACACAGAATAACAAATTATAAAATCTAAGAACATTAGTGGCTACTACAGGAGTGCTGAAGATGAGTTATCTAACCTAGCACAATAGTGATGCTTAAGAAATTCTTTCTGGAGGAGGTCGTATCTGAGATATGCCCTGAAGTGAAAGTGAAATTAAATGAGAAGGCCAGGCACAGTGGCTCACGCCTGTAGTCCCAGCACTTTGGGAGGCCGAGGCGGGCAGATCATGAGGTCAGGTGTTTGAGACCAGCCTGGCCAAGATGGTGAAACCCCATCTCTACTAGAAATACAAAAATCAGCTGAGCGTGGTGGTAGTGGGTGCCTGTACTCCCAGCTACTCAGGAGGCTGAGGCAGATACTTGCTTGAACCTGGGAGGCGGAGGCTGCAGTGAACCAAGATCATGCCACTGCACTCCAGCCTGGGTGACAGAGCAAGACTCAATCTCAAACAGAAAAAAAAAAAAAGAAATTAAATGAGGAATGATTAGAGAGAAAAGGGAGGCATTAAGAGGGCATTTTCTTAGGAGAAAAATAACATGAGCAGAGTACAGAGATATGTGTAAAGAATTACTCATAGACTTATGATGTTTTCAGAAGGTTAAAGGAGAAGGCCAAGAGTAAGTTTTTTTGAAGTATGCGTGGTGCTCAAGTGAGAGATGAGGTTAGAGAAGTAGATCAATAGGAATCCAGTGAAAGTTCTTAGGCAGAGAATTAATGTGTTCAGGTTTTCATTTTATGTAAGTAGCTCTGGTGGCCATGTAGACAGAAGATTTAAAGAAATCCTGGAAGCCATGACTTTATTAGGAGGCTATCCAGAAGAGGAACAATATCCAGAAACTGGACAGAAGTGAAAGGCAAAGAGGTTGGGGGGATAAAATCCAAGAAATATTTAAAAGCCAAAATGAGTGGGATATAATAATTGATTAGATGAATATATCATATTTGAAGGTGAGGGGAAGACAAAAGTCAGAAAACAGGGGAGGTTCCAAGATGGCCGAATAGGAACAGCTCCAGTCTACAGCTCCCAATGTGAGCGACACAGAAGATGGGTGATTCCTGCATTTCCAACTGAGGTACTGGGTTCATCTCAGTGGAGCTTGTTGGACAGTGGGTGCAGCCCACCGCAGCTCAAGGAGGCCTGCCTGCCTCTGTAGACTCCACCTCTGGGGGCAGGGCATAGCTGAACAAAAGGCAACAGAAACTTCTGCAGACTTAAATGTCCCTGTCTGACAGCTTTGAAAAGAGTAGTGGTTCTCCCAGCACGGAGTTTGAGATCTGAGAATGGACAGACTGCCTTCTCAAGTGGATCCCTGACCCCGAAATAGCCTAGTTGGGAGACACCTCCCAGTAGGGGCCGACTGACACCTCATACAGCTGGGCGCCCCTCTGAGATGAAGCTTCCAGAGGAAGGATCAGGCAGCAACATTTGCCATTCTGCAATATTTGCTGTTCTGCAGCCTCTGCTGGTGGTACCCAGGCAAACAGGGTCTGGAGTGGACCTCCAGCAAACTCCAACAGACCTGCAGCTAAAGGTCCTGACTGTTAGAAGGAAAACTAACAAACGGAAAGGACACCCACATCAAAACCCCATCTGTAGGTCACCATCATCAAAGACCAAAAGTGGATAAAACCACAAAGATGGGGAGAAACCAGAGCAGAAAAGCTGAAAATTCTAAAAATCAGGGCACCTCTTCTCCTCCAGAGGAATGCAGCTCCTCGCCAGCAATGGAACAAAGCTGGACAGAGAATGACTTTGACAAGTTGAGAGAAGAAGGCTTCAGATGATCGGTAATAACAAACTTCTCTGAGCTAAAGGAGGATATTCAAACCCATCGCAAAGAAGCTAAAAACCTTGAAAAAAGATTAGATGAATGGCTAACTAGAATAAATAGCACATGGAAGACCTTAAATGACCTGATGGAGCTGAAAACCATGGCACGAGAACTATGTGTTGCATGCAGAAGCTTCAGTAGCTGATTTGATGAAGTGGAAGAAAGGGTATCAGTGATTTAAGATCAAATGAATGAAATGAAGTGAGAGGAGAAGTTCAGAGAAAAAAGAGTAAAAAGAAATGAACAAAGCCTCCAAGAAATATGAAATTATGTGAAAAGAAAAAATCTACATCTGATTAGTATACCTGAAAGTGATGGGGAGGATGGAACCAAGTGGGAAAACACTCTTTAGGATATATTATCCAGGGGAACTTCCCCATCCTAGCAAGGCAGACCAACATTCAAATTCAGGAAATACAGAGAATTCCACAAAGATACTCCTTGAGAAGAGCAACTCCAAGACACATAATTGTCAGATTCACCAAAGTTGAAATGAAGGAAAAAATGTTAAGGGCAGCCAAAGAGAAAGGTCGGCTTACCCACAAAGGTAAGCACATCAGACTAGCAGCGGATCTTTTGGCAGAAACTCTACAAGCCAGAAGAGAGTTTGGGCCAATATTCAACATTCTTCAAAGAATTTTCAACCCAGAATTTCATATCCAACCAAACTAAGCTTCATAAGTGAAGGAGAAATAAAATCCTTCACAGACAAACAAATGCTGAGAGATTTTGTCATCACCAGGCCTGCCTTACAAGAGCACCTGAAAGAAGCACTAAACATGGAAAGGAACAACTGGTACCAGCCACTGCAAAAACATGCCAAATTGTAAAGATGATCGATACTAGGAAGAAACTGCATCAACTAATGGGCAAAATAACCAGCTAAAATCATAACGACAGGATCAAATTCACACATAACAATATTAACCTTAAATGTAAATGGGCTAAATGCTCCAATTAAAAGACACAGACTGGCAAATTGGATAAAGAGTCAAGACCCAACAGTGTGCTGTATTCAAGAGACCCATCTCACGTGCAGAGACACACATAGGCTCAAAATAAAGGGATGGAGGAAGATCTACCAAGCAAATGGAAAACACAAAAAAGCACGGGTTGCAATCCTAGTCTCTGATAAAACAGAGTTTAAACCAACACAGATCAAAAGAGACAAAGAAGGCCATTACATAATGGTAAAGGGATCAATTCAACAAGAAGAGCTAACTATCCTAAATATATACGCACCCCATACAGGAGCACCCAGATTCATAAAGCAAGTCCTGAGTGACCTACAAAGAGACTTAGACTCCCACACAAGAATAATGGGAGACTTTAACACCCCACTGTCAACATTAGACAGATCGATGAGACAGAAAGTTAACAAGGATGTCCAGGAATTGAACTCAGCTCTGCACCAAGCAGACCTAATAGACATTTACAGAACCCTCCACCCCAAATCAACAGAATATACATTCTTCTCAGCACCACATCACGCTTATTCCAAAATTGACCACATAGTTGGAAGTAAAGCACTCCTCAGCAAATGTAAAAGAACAGAAATTATAACAAACTGTCTCTCAGACCACAGTGCAATCAAACTAGAACTCAGGAATAAGAAACTCACTCAAAACCGCTCAACTACATGGAAACTGAACAACCTGCTCCTGAATGACTACTGGGTAAATAACGAAATGAAGGCAGAAATAAAGATGTTCTTTGAAACCATGAGAACAAAGACACAACATACCAGAATCTCTGGGACACATTTATAGCAGTGTGTAGAAGGAAATTTATATCACTAAATGCCCACAAGAGATAGGAGGAAAGTTCTAAAAGTGACACCCTAACATCACAATTAATAGAACTAGAGAAGCAAGAGAAAACACATTCAAAAGCTAGCAGGAGGCAAGAAATAACTATGATCAGAGCAGAACTGAAGGAGATAGAGACACAAAAATCCCTTCATAAAGTCAATGAATCCAGGAGCTGTTATTTTGAAAAGATCGACAAAATTGATAGACCAGTAGCATGACTAATAAAGAAGAAAAGAGAGAAGAATCAAATAGATGCAATAAATAATAATGATAAAGGGGATATATCAGCACCAATCCCACAGAAATACAAACTACCATCAGAGAATACTATAAACACCTCTACGCAAATAAACTAGAAAATCTAGAAGAAATGGATAAATTCCTCGACACATACACCCTCCCAAGACTAAACCAGGAAGAAGTTGAATCCCTGAATAGACCAATAACAGGCTCTGAAATTGAGGCAATAATTAATAGCCTACCAACCAAAAAAAGTCCAGGACCAGACAGATTCAGAGCCGAATTCTACCAGAGGTATCAAGAGGAGCTGGTACCATTCCTTCTGAAACTATTCCAATCAATAGAAAAAGAGGGAATCCTCCCTAACTCATTTATGAGGCCAACGTCATCCTGATACCAAAGCCTGGCGGAGACACAACAAAAAAAGAGAATTTTTAGACCAATATCCCTGATGAACATTGATGTGAAAATCCTCAATAAAATACTGGCAAACCAAATCCAGCAGCACATCAAAAAGCTTGTCCACCACAATCAAGTGGGCTTCATCCCTGGGATACAAGGCTGGTTCAATATGCACAAGTCAATAAACGTCATCCATCATATAAACAGAACCAAAGACAAAAACCACATGATTATCTCAATAGATGCAGAAAAGGCCTGTGACAAAATTCAACAGCCCTTCTTGCTAAAAACTCTCAATAAATTAGGTATTGATGGGATGTATCTCAAAATAATAAGAGCTATCTATGACAAACCCACAGCCAATATCATACTGAATGGGCAAAAACTGGAAGCATTCCCTTTGAAAACTGGCACAAGACAGGGACACCCTCTCTCACCACTCGTATTAAACAAAATGTTGGAAGTTCTGGCCAGGGCAATCAGACAGGAGAAAGAAATAAAGGGTATTCAATTAGGAAAAGAGGAAGTCAAATTGTCCCTGTTTGCAGATGACATGAATTGTATATCTAGAAAACCCCATCATCTCAGCCCAAAATCTCCTTAAACTGATAAGCAACTTCAGCAAAGTCTCAGGATACAAAATCAATGTGCAAAAATCACAAGCATTCCTATACACCAATAACAGACAAACAGAGAGCCAAATCATGAGTGAACTCCCATTCACAACTGCTTCAAAGAGAATAAAATACCTAGGAATCCAATTTACAAGGGATGTGAAGGACCTCTTCAAGGAGAACTACAAACCACTGCTCAACAAAATAAAAGAGGACACAAACAAATGGAAGAACATTCCATGCTCATGGGCAGGAAGAATCGATACTGTGAAAATGGCCATACTGCCCAAGGTAATTTATAGATTTAATGCCGTCCCCATCAAGCTACCAATGACTTTCTTCACAGAATTGGAAAAAACTACTTTAAAGTTCATATGGAACCGAAAAAGAGTCTGCATTGCCAAGACAATCCTAAGCCAGAAGAACAAAACTGGAGGCGTCATGCTACCTGACTTCAAACTATACTGCAAGGCTACAGTAACCAAAACAGCATGGTACTGGTACCAAAACAGAAACAGACCAATGGAACAGAACAGAGTCCTCAGAAATAATACCACACATCTACAGCCATCTGATCTTTGAGAAACCTGAGAAAAACAAGCAATGGGGAAAGGATCCCCTATTTAATAAATGGTGCTGGGAAAACTGGCTAGCTATATGTAGAAAGCTGAAACTGGATCCCTTCCTTACACCTTATACAAAAATTAATTCAAGATGGATTAAAGACTTAAATATTAGATGTAAAACCATAAAAACCCTAGAAGAAAACCTAGGCAATACCATTCAGGACGTAGACATGGGCAATGACTTCATGACTAAAACACCAAAAGCCATGTCAACAAAAGCCAAAATTGACAAATGGGATCTAATTAAACTAAAGAGCTTCTGCACAGCAAAAGAAACTACCATCAGAGTGAACAGGCAACCTACAGAATGAGAGAAAATTTTTACAATCTACCCATCTGACAAAGGGCTAATATCCAGAATCTACAAAGAACTTAAACAAATTTATAAGAAAAAATCAAACAACCCCATCAAAAAGTGGGCAAAGGATATGAACAGACACTTTTCAAAAGAAGACATTTATGCAGCTAACAGACACATGAAAAAATGCTTATCATCACTGGCCATCAGAGAAATACAAATCAAAGCCACAATGAGATACCATCTCACACCAATTAAAATGGCGATCATTAAAAAGTCAGGAAAGAACAGGTGCTGGAGAGGATGTGGAGAAACAGGAACACTTTTACACTGTTGGTGGGACTGTAAACTAGTTAAACCGTTGTGGAAGACAGTATGGTGACTCTTCAAGGATTTAGAACTAGAAATACCATTTGACCCAGCCATCCCATTACTGGGTATATACCCAAAGGTTTATAAATCATGCTGCTATAAAGACACATGCACACGTATGTTTATTGCAGCACTATTCACAATAGCAAAGACTTGGAACCAACCCAATTTTCCATCAATAATAGACTGGATTAAGAAAATGTAGGACATATACACCACAGAATACTCTGCAGCCATAAAAAAGGATGAGTTCATGTCCTTTGTAGGGACATGGATGAAGCTGGAAACCATCATTCTCAGCAAACTATCACAAGGACAGTAAACCAAACACCACATAATCTCACTCATAGGTAGGTATTGAACAATGAGAACACTTGGACACAGGGTAGGGAACATCACACACTGGGACCTGTTGTGGGGTGGGGGGAGGGGGAGGGATAGCATTAGGAGATATACATAATGTAAATGAAGAGAAAACACTCCCTGATTTACAGGTTGATAGTACTACGAAATTATATCAAGAATATTGGTAGGAAAAAGCAATTTAGGGGAGAAGATAGAAGTTTAGACAAGTTACATTTCAGGCAGCTGTGGGAGATGCAGATAAGGTTGTTCTGGCTTCCGTTAAATATCTACAACCAAAGGTGGAAGAAGGAACATGAATGTACACAAGAGGGAGCAGTTTCTGGAGGGAATGCTATATCATGTTATTTTTAAAGACTGGAGGAATGAAGGTGAGGATTGGTATAGACACAGGTAATTTGTAGTTGGCAGTAGGGAAGATAGTTGCAAATCACCCTTGGTGGCCTCAATTTTTTGATGAAATAGAATACTGAACCATACTTTAAGAGAGATACAAGGGCTGAGTACTGGGCTTGAGGATAGTGATAAAGGCCTGCAGAATTCCCATGAAAAATGGGAAAGTGAACTGATCACAAAAAACATGAGGCTCATAAGCAGCTTCAACTCATGAAATTATAAAGACTCTGATTTTCACAGTGAAATGAATCTTTCTAGTGATGCTAGTCACTTAGAAGGGCAGAGACAGAAGACTGTAGAATTGAGCCAGGGTTATGGGCTTTCTAAGCAGGTAGGGTGCTCAAATGAGTTGGAAGACTAGGAGAATGCCAGAAAGGAATGTGCCACAATTCCTGAGCACTTTTATCTTTTCTTCTACTGATGCTTGGATTTTTTCCTGCTTTGTCTACAATACAAAGGGTTTTATGCTGTGACTTAGCACAATCCTCCAGATATTTCTCTCTTTGTGGTTCTAAGGCAAAGCACAACCCTGCTATTATCTGATATATATAATATATTTAATATATGATATGATTATATATTATATATAATCATATCATATATATTATATATCATATATTATATATATTTTATGTTATATATTACATATCATTATATATTACATATAATAGATATTATATATGATATATAATATAAAATATATAACATATCATATTATATATTACAAATAATATCTGTTATATGATATATATTGCATATAAAATATACATAATATATATTTTCAATTTAAACTTCTTTAAGTCACTTTAATGTGATCTGCTTGAAAATTGCCCTGATATCACAACAAATACATAGTGACAAGGAATGTGAGTAGTGCCCTCTAGAGTTGGGAAACAAAAAACTTACACAACAGTAAGCAGTAGTCTTGGTTAAACAAATAACATGGTCTGACCCCTGGTAAACAAAGCAAAACATAAAGGAAGATTGAACTACTGATTCAACACACTAACTTTCAGCTTATTGACTCCGGTTGATTATTTCCATGCCCATACCTGTAATTCTTTATCCAGAAGATTAGGATCTCTGGAATAAATACATGAAATGATTTCTGTTCATTATATTTCACCTTGGGTTAGATCTTGGTTCCAGATGCTAGGGGAACTCGTTCTACATACCTAGCATGTTTTACTCTGAGGAAACCATTGTTAAACACAAACTGTCAAACTGACAAATCAGATATGCCATCCCCCCTCCATCCCCAATTTTTCTCTTCTCTTTATGTTTTAGAGGTCTAAATTCATTTTGGCTTTCAGGAAAAGCACTGGAATCTACAATTGTTTCCCTGGAGTCATCCTAATAAAGGTGTGGAGTTTTAGAGTTGTTGGGTCTGGATTCAAATTCTTGCTGCTGCTTTTGAGCACCTGCATCTCAATTTGGATGCTTTATCCCACTTTCTTTTCTCTCTCTCTCTCTCTCTCTCTCTCTGTGTGTGTGTGTGTGTGTGTGTGTGTGTAATTCAACATAAAGTACAACTTAAAACTTGTTTTTAAGATGAAAATTAAGTGATGTCAATTTTTTTGCTCCTTTTTACAAATGAGGAAACCAAGGTTTAAAGAAGTTAAATATGCTGTATAATCATGGTCTATAATAACAAGTGACATGTTTACACTCAGAAAACGTTAGTGTCATATGTTCTATTGAAAGGAAAGATTTAGAGTCGATTTGTAGGTACTATTAAAAACATTAAAGAAAATAAGAAGCCATGCTGCCCTTAAAAATAAAGGATATATTATTCAGCTCCAAATAATAGAACTAGAAATAACACAGGTTGAAATTTAAGTACTTTGAGATCGATATAAAGAAAAACTTTCTAACATTTATATCAGACCAAATATAAAATCCATAGTGAGAGCTAATAATTTTTGGTCACTTTATTGGAAATTCTACAGAGTTCCTGATAGTCAATTTAATTTAATTTAGTCAATTTAATTTTGATGACTGTGCCACTCTGTGCCATTACAACTTTTCTTAAGAGTCTATTCAATATATCTCAAAAGCTAGTCAGCTTTAGAATCCCATGTCTGAATGCAACATAAATGAAAACAGATTCAATAAAAATAATACTGTTAGGCAAAATTGTATTTTAATAATAAATTACATTTATTTCTCTCTGAATCTATTAAAGGACTTTCATTGCGTTGTTTCTGAAAACAAAGTAATTTAAGAAATATTGGCATTGGTTTTGGATTTTCTATAACCAAAAAAAGTGTAAATAGTATTTTTTGAAGATATTTATTGAGTTGACTTCTCCTAAAGACAGGTATTTCCATGTAATTGGTTACTTGTCTGTTAATAAATGTAATTTGATTTAAAGCTCTTTGTACAAAAAAAAAAATTCTAAAAACCCACATTAATCTACTTAACCTCTTGAGTCAGGTCAACAGAATTGGAATCGGATGAGTTTGGCGTATTACCTGTGCTGTGGGAATTTCTGTTTATGTATATACCCCAACCCCTCTGATTAGGAAAGTTTATACTCACACTAGTGTGTGTGTGTGTGTGTGTGTGTGTGTGTGTGTGTGTGTGTATGCATGCACTACACTTAGAAGAGATAATAGTCAAGCAAGAAGCAAGGGGCCATGCCCAGACTCTAGTTAGTGCCACTCTTACATTTAGTTGCTCTGAGCTAATTTAAATCCACATTTCTCCTTTTTCTTCTGGGCAGGGTCTCTCCAGAGACACAGTAGCTGTGAGTCTGTAGCCTCATCTGTTATAAAATTGCTCTGTAATGAAAGGCCTAGAGCCAAAGACCTTATTTCTTTTCCCCAGAGTCTTCACAGATGGAGGTTAGGATTTCTATTTCACAATGCGAAAGAGCTTGCTATTGGAATTACAGTCTCTGATTTTCCACTCAATTAAGCAAATTCAAAATTTAACATCCCCTGCTGCTGACCTAGTTATAGGGGCTGTGTTTTGTTAACCTGGCTGTGTCCCCTTTGTGGCTGTGCTTTAACTCACTGCAGGACCAGACCCTTGCATGGTTAGGACAGATGCTGCAGCTTGGCCCTGTTGAGTAGCATAAGAGAAAGGAATCCACAGAGATGCTGTAAGAGACTTGTGGCTGCCAATGTGAGGTTTTGGGGAATACTGTTCACCATTCTGGACTTTCTATTTATGTATTCTACAGGAATCCCATTAGTGACCTATAATCTACCTTCTTCCTTTATAATGAGGATTGTGAGGCCCAATATATTAGTAATTTGTCTAATTTTATACTGCAATTGAAAGAGGTAAACCCCAAACTTAGATATCCCAGAGCCCTTTTATATCCTCGGGTTATATATATTTTTAATTTACTTATCTGTAATTATCACTCATTTTATTGTGAAGTGGTGCTCCTTTCAGATCAGAGTTTTTTCAAGTATTATTCCTAAGAAATCTGCATCAGAGTCTCCTGGTATACCTGTTGAGATGCAGATTCCTGGGCTCTGCTCCAGGACTATCATTTCCATGTCTCTGGGATTGGAGAAATTTGTGTTTTCAACTCATGCTTCAGATGATTCCTATGAAAAATAGTGTGCATATGTTTTTGACATTTTGTTTTGAGATAATCTTAGACTTCCCATGAGTTATAAAGACAGTACAGGGAGTTCTTGTGAACACTTAATTCAGCTTCTCATAAGTAATGTTAACGTTTTACCTAACCATATAACAAAGATCAAAACCAAGAAATTAACACTGGAACAAAATTATTAACTAACTTAGACTGTATTTATATTTCATCAGTTTTTTTTCACTATTTTTGTCCCCTCTTCCAGGACCCAGCTTAGGGGTCCCACATTGTCTTTAGTTGTTACATATGGCAAGTTTTACTGTTCTATATAATAGTCCCATATTCCACGTGGATAGAGGCAGAATCCTGGCTCTGAAAGGGGTTAGAGAGTTTATTCAGGTAATGATATGACAAAAACTCAAGTCACGATGACAGGACTGTTAAATAATGCTGCAAACACTGAATTGGCCAGATTCAGAATTAGAGCAGAGATTTAAAAATTATTCAATCTTGCATTCTTATTTCATTGATGAGGACTTACAGCCCAGAGAAGAAACATAAGCAAGTTGGTAGAAAGATTGGAACTGAGCACATACCACTTGGCTCCAAAGTTCCTTGTAACGTATTTAAATATCTGCCTCCGATTATATTTCTTTTAACTCAAAGCAAGGATCATGAACAGTTAAAAACATCATATCTATGGCCTCATATGATTCTTCCAATTTTTCAGCGAGAGGAACATGAAAAGTCTCATTTCCTCTGCGTTGGGATTAAGAAAACAGGTTCAGACAGAGAAACTGACTTACCCAAGGTCCCATGGCCAGGATACACTTGAGCCATGTCTGTATCTCTATGACCTGACTCCAGAGTTGGTGCTATTTTGCAGTACATCACACTCCTCTGGCCTAGAATTTATGCACTCTGTGCTGAAATGGATATTTTGTGTATTCAAATGGAACATTTGGAGGAGTGAGTATTTATATACAAATTCAAATAGGGCACCCAAATGGGGAAATGTTGTGAACCTGGCATATTTAGCAATTATAAATGGGAGATGTGATTGTAGGAAGAGAACTGACATGAATCAGCATGAAATTTTGCACTTGGCAGATAGAACTAGATAATCCCAAGGTGTTTCTTTTTTCTTTTTAAATTAAATTTAATTTAAGCATCTTAGTCCTTGTCTGTCCTGAGAATGAAATGGGTTGCTTTTATGAATTTTTCTACTGCCGGTAGTTTGGCATATTTCTGAAAAAAAAATTGTTCTTGGGAGAATAAGTATAATTTAGGACTCTGCCATAAACACAGCTACCAACAAAATTGTAGACAGACGAGAGAGTTTATGTTTTGCCACTAAAACTTGTTATGTGCCCATAAGCAAATAGCTATTTTTGGATGCTATGCCTCAGTCACACAAAATGTAAAATGAGAGTGTTAGAATTGGTGACTTCTTGGGCAAAGCCATAGCTGGGATAGATCATGGGAGATGCCCAGGGGAGGGGAAGGATGGGTTGAACAACATCTGTACCATTAATTGATGGGGGTGGTATTTGCATAAAAAGTACCACCTTTTTCCTATATTGTCTGTGATTCCCAAGGTCTTGGTTTAACACTGTTTCCTGTGGTATCTTTTTGTCATCTTTAACAAAAGCCATGTCTGTGCCTGTCTTTATTTTTACTTATTGCTTTAAAGGCATAACTAGTTGTAAAAAGTTTCTATTGTTCCTATTCCAGCTGTGTCTCTGTCCTGAATTCCTACACTTTGTAAGTTTACAGGACAGAAGTACCACTCAGTAGGTAGAATAAAGAAATCTTGTGTTCTTTGAGGGCTTCAGATAACAATGATTTGCAGAGTGGACAGCCTTTTGGGCAAAACCATATGAAATACTCAATTATTGCAACTAGAGACCTAGTGTGGGAGACACCTTGGCAAATTGTGGATTAGTGAAATATGGCTTTAGTGTCTGGCACCTAACTTAGTATTTCTATACCCCAGTACCACCTACTTGTATCCCTATTTCCCCAGCTCGTAAATAACAAACATGGCCTTAGGGGGTTGCCCTGCCAATAGGATTTGCCTTCTAACAGGGGAATTTTACAGGTAAAATTTCTGAAGGGTGTCTGGGATTTTGAAAGACATTGTTAGCTGACCAGGACATATCCTAAAGTCAACCATAAGGGGATTTTTTTTTTTATTCTTTAAGGTTAGCCCCAGAAGTTATATTAGAAATTTTACTTAAATTTGAAATACATGACAAACTAAAGTGGCCCTTGCCCTTCTGTATCATCCTCCATCTTTTAAAACCAGAACCATAGTTACAGATAGTGGTAGTTCCAGAATTTCTTAGTTGGAGAGTCTTATATGAGCTAGAAACCTTGTCTTAAAATGGACACATTGGTTTAATTTATATGCTTATTTGATGTGGCTTGAATGTGGAGTCACTTTGCCAAGGATGGAGACAACCATAGACATTACTTTCTCTGACTTTTCTTTTAATTGATGGGGACACCGAGTTCAAAGATGGGAAATAAATTGCCCAGGATCACAACATAAATCAGAAGAAGGGTGGTGTTTGAAAACCAAGTCTAGGATCCTCAGGAAAGCAAACCCTTCCCTATAAAGCCATTAATTAAATTCAAAGCCTCAACTGGAGGGAATGTCTGCTGTCTTAGATGAGTACCCTTTTCCCAAGGCCAACTCAATACCGAGTGCATTTCAGCCGTATTGATTTTACAGAACGCCCTTGTAATTCTACAAGGCGCGAGAGAGGTTTTTATTTGTTTTGAAGTTTCTAGCCAGCAGCATTTTACAGGTATTTTGAAGAAAAGGGTGTCTTCTATTTAGATTCACAAGTATTTTGTGACTCAGAAGAAAAAGGCAGTAGAGAAAAATTCTCCTCTAAAATTACAGAATTTTAAGATGTTATTTTAAGATAAAAGGCAAGTTCAGTAGAACTAGTGCATCAATGAAGACTAACAAGGCAGTCAAGCCTCATATTTAAAAACGGACTCTCAAGTCAGCATGGGAGGCAAACATCAGGTTTAGTTACAACTATTCTTGAAAATATCCTAAGCAGGTGACATAATACCTCAGAAATTCAACAGGGCCAGTTTTTCCTCCAGTGACAAAACAGATATCTATTTCTTTGGATGAATATAGTTAAAGTATTTTCAGGACTGTGTAATATAGAAAAAAGTGCAGTGTGTCATTAAACAGAAAGCACATACAGCCCTGTTAGATGTTCATTCCATGAAGCACAGGTAAGAACTAGATCTGCTAAGTCTCCCACCTCACACTCACTACTGGACATGAGGCTTATTGAGGGGAATGGTGTATGGAACTGCTTATACTATTTAAATCATGCTCTCATGCTTTCTTAGTTTCTCTTCTCATTAATGCTCTCACACAATTCCTAACCCCCAGAACGAGTCAGATAGAGTTTGCCTACATGCATGTAAGATACAGAACTATAGACTCACCTATAACTCCAGTCTTTGACTCTGGTTCCAGCCTAACATTTATTGACACTTCCATTCCTTCTCTTTCCTCTCCTCTCCTCTCTTTCTTCCACAAATATTTAGTTTGTGCCTATCCATGCCAAAGACTATAGAAAATATTGGGATGAACCAGGTAGAATCTTACCCATATGGAGTTCATAGACTTAGGGGAAAAAGTAAAAGCAAATAATTGCTGGTTTATTTATTAAGTTGAAGAGGCAATAGAAGTTCAGAGTACTATGAGATCATATAACAGGATGACCTAATCATACCAAGCTCGGGTTCAGAGAAGCAGAACTCATCCTATTCATTAGCTATGGGACCATAAATATATCACTTACATAACTCAACTTCCATTTTCTCAACAATTATATTAGTAGGTTGTTAATAAGACTTCAACTAAATAGTGTTTCTGGGAGTACCTGGTAACCTATTGATTGTAACACAAATTATTTGTGCTATTTTTGACCAGCCTGTTTCCACATTTGCACTGGGCTCTACTGGAAATACCATAGAAGTAGAAGATGCAGATCTGCCTTTTTCTGCTTGGGAGGTCAGATTCATCCAGGGGAATAGTGAAGAGATGGTATTGTAGGACTCAAGTAATACATGCAACATAAGTTCAAAGAAGGGAGGAATCTATCAGTATGGATGGGGACATAGGGTAGTCTTTAAATAGTTGACTGAATTCTGTGGGTTTATTTAGAGGGAAGAATGAGTAACTTGTGTTTCCAGGAGGGGACACAGAATGTGATGTGTATAGGTGTAAGGATGCCATCATACTGGACTAACCTATCATGGATGAACCTCAAAGGCAAGCCACTATGTAGCTAGAATGTTTGTGTTTCCATGTTACTGGTATTTTTTTCCCACACCTTTCAAACAACAAAATGTGCAGCTTTCCATTATAGACCATTAAAAATGTTGCATTACCATAATGTCTCTATTAATAAATGCACATGAGAATGTTCTCTTTTTTGTCCTTTCACTGTTTTGAAGCTACAAGAAACAAACATATGGCTGCTTTGTGGAATGGTCATGCCCATATTTGAAGACAGTTTCCATGTGCCCTTTTCTCATACCTCAAGTTTGTTTACTCTTATGAGTTACCTAACTTTTCTATAATCCTGCAATTCCAAAAGCAAGGGAACCATTTTTGAGATTTCTATGAGTTGTATAGACCATGAAATTTTTCTTAAAGTAAAAGTGATCCTCCTTTTTGACCACCATATTTCTTTACTCTTAGTCAAGGCACATTTTTGTGGTTACTAAAATGGAGTTTTATAGTCATAAGCATCTGTGAAGATGTCAAAATTCATTTTAACTATTACTTCTCACAGTATACACTTTCTGGGCCACACAATAGAGCATGTAATTTTATGCCATCTTGCATTGTATTCTGCAAGATTGTTGTCTGTTTCTTTAGGTTCAAAGATACTTTGGACAAAAATCCTATGTGGCCTTTGTATCTCCTACTTAAAATGTCTAGCAGAGCTAAGTATAACATTTTTTAGTTAATTTTTTGACATTTTGATGGACACTGCGTTACATTTCTTAAGCTCAAAGTAAATATCAACTGAAAGAATGTTTGAGGTTGTTGATGAATGGGGCTCAGACTACATAATCTTGGATATCTTCCTATTAGGCCAGAGGAAAATAGTGTTTATCTTTGGTAATGTACCTTATAAAGCTGCTCTGGAATCAAATAGTCTGGGTTTGAAGATAGTTTTCTTGTTCCACCACTTAATAGCTGTGATCTTTCATCTCTCAAAATGTGAACAATAATGGTAACTACCTCATAAAGTTGTGAGGATTAAATGAAGCAATGCATATAAAGTAATTTGCAGTCTCTGAATATTATTTATACTCATTAAATGTTAATTCTCTTTAACATCAAACTCTCAAATATGGAGTAGTTTTATTTTTTAATACTTAATTATTAGGGTTTTTTTCAACCCATTATTGTCAGAAGGAATTACCAATCCATAAAGGCCCATTTCAAGTATTTTCCCCCTGGAGATCATTACAATGGGGGGGATAAGACCTCAGTGGTCTTAATTATAACCTGACCAGCTCATTCCAGAGCATTGCATGGAAATCACAGCTGGCCCTCAATACCATGTCAGACATTAACAATTGACAAGATCTGGCCAGGAATTTCATACCTTTGAGCAGTTGTCTCCTTACCAATTGAGGATTCCCTGTTCACTTGTTTATGGCTGGGTGAGTCAGGAGCACACTGACTGATTCTTTCCTTGAATTCCAACTTCTAATCCATCTTTGTTAGATCTGGAAGCTAACCACCTATCACTTGGATCATGGGCCTTAATTGTTTTCTCTACAGACTTGCCACATGAAAATCTTTAGACTAATCAGCTTAGACAAATGTTATCTTTTATCTTTTTTCAAAGAACCAAAAGTATTTGATTGAAATAGCTCTTGAGTCAGCAACTGGGCAGGAAACGAGAAAATAGTCTCTATGCTTAAAAGGTTTCCTTTGATAGCAGCTGTATTTGCTTGGGGAGTTGGTGGTGGTTTGTTCACTAAGGGTTACTGCAGGCATACAGACACAAAGATATTTTAACCAAGGGCACTGCTGTGTTTTCATTACATGGGTGCTCTACCTCAAAATTTATCCTGAATCTTGCCTCTTCTCTCCATCTTCAAAATCACCTCATTTAGGCCTCTGGGGTCTCTTGCCTATGTGTACTGCAGTAGCCTCTAACCTGTTTTCCCCCAAAGAATCCGTTCTTCACACAGCAGCCAGACTGACTCATGAAAAAGTAATAAAAATAGCAATAATGATGATGGCTATCCCTTGTATACCATTAACTCTATAATGGGTTTTGCTTTTTTTGAAAGAGCTTTATTGAGAAATAATTCACATAACAGTCACCCTACTGAAGTGTATAATACAGTGAATTTTAGTGAGAGAGTTGTGGAACAGGCACAATTATCTAATTTTAGAATATGTTAATCAACCCATAAAGAAATCCCATACTCATTAGCAGTTCCTTTTCCTACCCCTCAGTCCCTGGTAATCACAATCTTCTTTCTGTCTTTACAGATTTGCCTAGAGTTTGCTGGATATAGAATGATATTCTTTTTTTGTTTTCTTTTAGCACTTTGAAAATGTCACACCACTGCCTTCTGTTCTTCATGGTTTATGATAAGAAGTGTGCTCTTAATCTTTTTGAGGACCTCATTGTATGTGAAGACTACGTTTTTTCTCTTGCAGTCTTCCAGATTCTCTTTTTTGTAAAATTTTCAATAGCTTAAAATATGATATGTTTGGATGTAGAACTCTTTGAGTTTATCCTACCTGTAGTTCACTGATATTCTTAGATGTGTAAGATTAATGTTTTTCTTCAAATTTGGGAAATGTGGGGCTATTATTTCCTAAAATATTCTTTCTGCTCTTTTCTCCCTGGGTATTTACGAAAGTGAAATGAAAACACATATCCACACAAAAACTTTCACACAAATGTTCATAGCAGCATTATTTGTAATAGTAAAAAAAATGAAACAACACAAATATGCAACAACTGGTGAATAAATGGAATGTGGTATATATATATAATGAAATGTAATTCTGCTATAAAAAAGAATGAGCTACTGATATCTGCTATAACATGGATGAAGCTTGAAAACATTCTGCTAAGTGAATGAAATCAGACACAAGGACCACATATAGAATTCATTTATGTGGAATGAAGTCCAATGTATTCTTTAACTTTCATCAGCAAGTATTCCTTCTTGTTGTTGTTGACATGTTCTAATCTGAACCATTGACAAGTATTTATATTTTAAAGAGACTTATCCGAGGAGAAAAAATATTTATCATGTAATGGGTACTTAGCATGTGACTAACAGCAGTCACATGAAGAAGTTTCAGTCACATGTATCTGGAACATGTAAAATGCACAGGTAGCAAGCCCATCAAGGAAATTAATGGTAATGAACCTATTCCTGATAAAGGGCATATAAAATAATCTGGTGGAGTAAGGGCTTGGGAGTTGAGCAAGGTTCAATCCCAACTCAATCCCTTTATAAAATCAGTGATCTTAGAAGGTTTTAAACTTCTGTCTGATGTACTTTGTTCATTTTAAAATGGATATAATTATGCAATGTGGAAAAATTATCAGGAAAATTGAGTGAGAGAACTTATGCACTATTCCTGGCATGTACCAGGTTCCAAGTACAAGTTCACATAGGAAATTCAATGCTGGGAGACACAACTTTAGAGGAGGCGCTCTCAGAAATGGCTTGCTGAAGGAGCCTAAACTCTAGGTAATAATTATTATTACAAAAGTATATGTAGAACTTACTTGAAATGAATGACAAAGGTTATATGTATTATTGGAAAAGTGGTGGTGTTGATGTAGTTTAGAGTGAGACCAAGATTTGAATGCTGTAGGTATACCACTTAATAACTGTGAAACCTTAAACAATTTTTATTTTTTATATCTGAGGAAAAGAAAATTAAGCTGCCTCTCTCTCTGACTTATGGTAGTGACAGACATGAGAACACTTGAAAATGCCTGATCCCAGACAAATGTCAGTTCATTACAGGGAATAACTGGGGTGGAGGGGGGGAGTGGGTAAAAGGAGTATTTCAGATCCAAATAGGCTGGAAAGAGTTATAGAGATGATAGAGCTTATATAGCCTTTGACCAAGAGTTGAACACTTGGGTTTTCACAAGCACGTGGCATTCAATTTCCAGAAATTCATTACAGCCCCCACAGTACCTGCTTCTCACCTGACCATGGTAGTTGCACTGTCAGTGGTTGCTGTCTGGTTATAGGTTGATTACCGGTAGAGGAAAAGTGAGATAATGTGTGGAGGCAGGAGTCTCTGATCTCATTCTTTGGATCAGAGGTCTCCAAAGGGTAAGGCCCATACAACAAGAGGCAACACTAGGGTTGGGAGTGAGGGAATATTAAAATAGATATTTACATGTATTTTATAATAATTTGCATTTTTAACTTTTTTCACATTTATTTAAAAAATTGACAGATAAAATGGTATTTATTGTATACAACACGTTATTTTTAAGAACAAATACATAATGGAATGGTTAAATTTACCTAATAGATGTATTATTTCACAGTTATTTTATGATGAGAATACTTAATATCTACTCCCTTAACATCTTTCAAGAATACAATATGTCATAATTAATGATAGTCATCATGCTGTAAAATAGTCCTTTTGAACATATTTTTCCTATCTATAATTTTGTATCCCTTGAGCCAGCATCTCTCCAACCCACCATCCCCAATTGTCCCAGCCTCTGGTAACTGCCATTTTACTCTATCTATGAGATAAACTTTTTTAGATTCCACATATAAGTGGAATCATGTGGTATTTGTCTTTCTGTACCTGGGTTATTTCACTTAATGGATTTCCTTCGGGTTCATCCATGTTGTTTTAACATGGCAGGATTTCCTTCTTTTTATGGCTGATTGGATTCCATTGTACATATACCACATTTTCTTTATCCATTCATCCATCAGTGGACACTTTGGTTGATTTTGTCGTATCTTGGCTATTGTGAATAGTGCTGCAATGAGTATAGGAATACAGAGAGGTCTTCAACTTACTGATTCTATTTCTTTTGCATATGTACCTAGAAGTGGAATTGCTGAATCATATGGTAGTTCTATTTGTAATGTTTTGAGGAACCCATACTGTGTTCCATAATAGCTGTACTAATTTACATTCCCATCAATAATGTACAAGAATTCTCTTTATCCATATCCTTGGCAACACTTGTTATGGTTTGTCTTTTTGATAACAATCATTCTAAAAGGAATGAGGTTATATCTCACTGGGTATTTGATTTACATTTCCCTGATTGTTGATGTTGAGCAACTTTTATATAACTTGGTTATTCCTATGTCTTTTGTGAAATGTTTATTCAGGACTTTTGCCCATTTTTAATTGGGTTATTTAGGTGTTTTGTTTGTTTTTGCTATTAAGTTCCTTATGTGTTTTGGATAGTAATCCCTTATGAGATAATAGTTTGTATATATTTTCTCCTATTTTGTAAGTTGTTGCTTTACTGTCTTGGTTGTTTCCTTTGCTGTGCAGAGGCTTTTTAGTTTGATGTAATCCCATTTGTACATTTTTACTTTGATTGCCTGTGCTTTGAGTCACATCCAAAAAATCATTTGCCTAAATCAATGTCATGGAGCTTTTCCCCCATGTTTTCTTTTAGTAGTTTTATAGTTTCAGGCCTTATGTTTAAGTAATTAATCCATTTTGAGTTGATTTTTGTATATAGTGTGAGATCAGCATCAACTTTCAGTCTTCTGCATGTAGATATTCAGTTTCCCCAGCACCATGTATGGAAGAGACTGTTATTCCCCCATTATGTGTTCTTGGCACTTTTGTTGAAAATCAGTTGGCTGTAGATACATGATTTTTTTTTTTTTTTGAGTCAGAGTCTTGCTCTGTTGCCCAGGCTGGAGTGCAGTAGTGGGATCCTGGCTCACTGCAATCTCCGACTCTTGGATTCAAGCAATTCCCCTGTCTCAGCCTCCCACGTAGCTGGGACTACAGGCACACACAACCATGCCTGGCTAATTTTTGTATTTTTAATAGAGATTGGGTTTCAGCATGTTGGCCAGGCTGGTCTTGAACTCGTGACCTCAGGTGATCCTCCTGCCTCGGCCTCCCAAAGTGCTGGGATTACAGGCATGAGCCACTGCACCTGGCCTAGATACTTGACTTTATTTCTGGGATCTGTATTCTGTTCCATTGGCCTGTGTGTCCATTTTTATGCTAGTATCATGCTGTTTAGGTTACTATAGCTCGGTAGTATATTTTCAAGTCAGGTTGTTTGATGCTTTTAGCTTTATTCTTTTTCCTCAAGATTTCTGTGGTTATTTGGAGTCTTTTCTGGTTCCATATGAATTTTAGGATTCTTTTTTCTATTTCTATGAAGAATGTATGTGCTTTGGTGCAATCACAGGAATTGGAGGAATCATAACTTTTTTGTTGTTGTTGTTTTTTATTAACTAAATGACCCTGGCAAACCTCAATTATATCATGATTCTCTAAACACATGTTGGAAAAGCTAATGCTAAGAAAATTCATCACCTCTTTCCCTGCCAGGGCTCTATCATAACTCTTTCACTGTCCTTAATTCATTCTGTTTTAAAAATGTAATTTCATTGGTTGGGTGACAAATGTTGCTCTTTGTGGTGGAACACATTCTGTTCATGTGGCCCTGGCTGCCTGAAGGGAATGGATTTTTCTCTGTGGAATTACCTTGGGAATCACTGAAGCATCTGTGAAGCCTTTCTTGCCAAGTAATGCTTCCTTATTTTCTCCCCCTACAAGGGAAGGGGAGATTGGAGATGTGGCTGGGGAATCTCTCCCCATTGAGAATTCTTGCATTTTAAATAAAAAGAATCCCACAAGTCATTCAATCTATTAACTCATGTGGAAATGGTTATATGGCCCACATCAGCCTTTCATTGAAGACACCGTCTTGATTTTATGCTTAAAAGATATACAGATAGTAGCAGATTTGGACAGCAGAAATATATTTGTCATTGACTTTAAGGAAAGGGATTTTAAAAAGAAAAAGAAATGGTGTGTTTTACAGATTAGATTATTAGGATGAAACATTGCTCCTAGGCAAATGTGTTTTTTAAAAATGTAAATGAACTTCCACCATTATTCACTCTGAATCCTCCCAGCCTCCATTATGTGAAATCAAATGGGCTTTTATACTGAGAAGCTGTTCAACTCACAGCAGGCTATTCCCTCCCAACATACTGACAGTTGTTCTGCTTCAGAATTCTCTCAGGCTTCCTGTCAAAGAGGAGGCCTGTTCTGTGCAGTGCAATCAGGGTCAGCTCAATAGGATGCTACATCCACACCTGTGAAAGAGCCACATAAGCATCTTGGGTAATGAGAGTATTGCAGGACCTCCATTTGAGTAAACCAGTGAGCAGAGGGTGAAAAGGTCTGCAAGGAGAATGCTTTAATGAAAAACAGATAGTTTAAAAGTGATTATTTCTGGGGCCATGGCTTCAGAGAAACTGGGAAGTGATGCAAATGAGAAGTGGTGGGTGGTCCTAACAGAGTGATAGAAATGGAGAGAGAGAGAGGGCAGCATGGTGAAGAAGAAAGAACAGTGATTGCAAATCTGCAAGCTGAGTGCCAGCTTAGGTTCTGCTTTTGCCATCTGTGACGCCTTGTGCAAATCATTCTACTTTTTACTCGTTGGGCTTACACCCAAACACGGGTGTCTTGGATTACCTTACATTCATGTCTTCTTTTAGCTGTAATGCTCTCCTGATTAGCAAAGCCCATGCATTTCAATTTCAATCTGGCTGTTTTTGATAATGCCCAAAGGGTTGCAGTGAGCTGAGATTGTGCCACTGCACTCCAGACTGGGCAACAGAGGGAGACTCTGTCAAAGAAAAAAAAAAAAAAAAAAAACAAAAAAAAAATATATATATATATATATATATATATATATATATATATGATATAGAGTCAGACTACCTGGAGTTTTAAAATCAACTCCATTTCTCACTAACTGTGCGATGCTAGGCAAGTTACTTGGCCCTTCTGAGGCTCAGCTTATTTATTTGTAGAATAAGGGTCACAGCAATGCCTACTTTACAAGGTTGATGTGAACGTTAAGTGAGGTATTAGTCTTAAGTGTTTTGTACATTCCCTAGCATGCGAGTATTCAAATATTAGCTGATGAAAATATTTAATAATGACAATAACTGCTCAGCTATAACTTCTGTAATTTTCTAGTTATAAGCTTAAGCTTTGGGAAAAATTGGAACTTCTGTGTAACTTGGTAAAGCCATCTGTGAGTAGGTGTGAAGTAAATATCCTCCGATGTAGCCTGCCAGACAATTGTCTAGAGCCATTGCAATGGCCTTTGAAAGAGAACAAATGGAACGTGGCAGGCTTTTGGCCTTCCTTCTGAGGACTGACTCTTGGCTCTGATGTTCAGACTTCTGCGGACCAGCTGGCCAAATAAAGTACAGCTGACTTTCTCCCCACTCTGTTCCTCACAATAGCAAATGGAGGGGAGAATACAAGAAGGTATTATGGAAGAGGTATGATAAACCCTGAGGCCCTATTGTCAATAAGAAAATTGCAACATCGATGAAGACATTCTGGAGGGAATAAGGGAAACTGAGAAGTAATGGCCAGTAGGAATAAGTATTCTTTGTAAAAAGTACTTCCCATTAGTTAAAAGAGACTTCAGATTAAATGTGGGTCTCCTCACAGAATCCTATATTCGGGGGGCTGTATAGCTCAGTGGTAGAGCATTTGACTACAGAATCCTATACTCAGGGGAAGGAGAACTGGGGGTTTCTCAGTGGGTCAAAGGACTTGTAGTGGTAAATCAAAAGCAACTCTATAAGCTATGTAACAAACTTTAAAGTCATATGTAGCTGGGTTCAAATCCTGTTTCTGCCATTAATGAGCTGTCTGATTTGGGGCAACTGATTTCCACTCTCCATGTGTTACTTTTCTCATCTATTAATGGAGACACTATTTGTTTCCCTCTCATTGTTGATAAAGAATTTCAGATAATGATGGGAAAGCACTTAGCCTAATGTATGGCACTGGTAATCATTCAGTAAATGTTAGCTGAATGAATAGTAAAGGTAAGATTAGTATTAATAGATTAATTCTCTATTAATCTTAGTATTAATAGATTAATTCTCTATTAATCTTAGTATTAATAGATTAAAAGATTAATACCAATGTTACCTATTAATAAAGGGAATATTATATTGAAATCTTGTCTCTGGCTAAGAAAATCCCCTTTATCTTTCTCGAATCTCAGTATGCAACAAGAAACCCAGAAACAAATCAGCAGTGCCCCCAAAGGCCTCTGCATAAGGTGTCTGTTTCAATCAGTAGCCAAGGAGATGGGGATGGAAGGTCCCGCCTGTTCTTTGTGATCCTATTTTCAAAGGTTAGGGACATGCCGAAGACATTCTGTTCTCCTTTGAAGATATATTAGTTTTTCTAAATCTGTCTTTTAATTCCACACAGTTCCTTGGGAATAATGAATTTACCACACTTAGAAAAAGGACATTGAAATAGAAGGAGCCTTTGTGGTTCTGTGACACCAAGTTGCCATGTGACCTGTGGCTGGGGATGTACAGTCTTAGGTGTTCATTTTCCCCACTGGCAATACAAAGGAACTTCATTAGCTGAGTTGGAAGGTCTCTGGGAGATTCAAGTGTATGATTCTAAACTCTATTTCCTTTCATTTATTTTGAATTTACATGACCAGAGCTTTACAATGAATATGGAAAAAAGATCACTTTTGAAGTATTCTTGGGTTTAATCATGTAAGCCAAAGTTGCTGAGCATTTACCAAATGCCAGACACTGTTTCAGTCACTGGGGATATAATACTAAACAAAATAGGCAAAACATCATGCTCTTATGAAACTGACATCCTAGTTGGTTTGATGTACATGTTATGTGTTCATCTTCTCTTTGATATTCCTGATATCATTCATGGGAAGTTGATTGGTGACTTTCCAAGGAGCCATGGGGATAAACCAAGCATTATTTTTACACTTAATTAAATCACAGAATGTCAATATTTAGGGGTGCTTGGTTGTTCTTCCTTTGGAGTGGCCTGTCTTTCTAATGCACACCTGGGTTTCATGGACATTCATGAATATGGTGTTAATATTTCATGTGAGGGTTGGATTTTATAGTCAGAGAATTTGGGTCAGTGTCATAGCTTTGTTGTTTACTAGTGTATAACCTTGGTCAAGTCACTTTAATTTTCCTTAACTGTGGTTTTAGATCATTGATATTTACCACAAGAGTTGGATAAAGTAAATTCAGACATAAAAATGTTGTCCTGCTTTTTTTTGAAGATCATATATGTTATTGGGTATGAAAACATTTTTAAATAATTTTATTCATCTTATTACTAAGCAAAGTGAAAAAGTTGCAGGTAGCCACTCTTCTTAGCTGTTCTAGTTATGGAATACTGCATAACACTAACTCAAAGTTAGTGTTATAAAACAACCATTTGTTATGATCACAAATTCTGTGGGTGAAAAATTCAAACATCACTCTTCGGGGATGGTTTGTCTTTAGCCTCTTGATGTCTGGGGAATTGAATGGAAGATTTGAAGACTGGGAGCCGAAGTCGTCTGTAGGTTTGTTCACTCACATGTCTGGTGGTTGATGCTGGCTGTCAGCCTAAGTTTCTTTCCACGTGGGACCCTTTGCATGGACTAGTGTGGGCTACCTCCTGGATGGCTGTTCGATCCAGAGCAAACATTTCAAATAAAAAGAGCAGATAGAAGCTGTATCCTTTTTTCTTCTTTTGGTTTGGATGCTTCTATTTTTTTTAATTTTTATTATTTTTCTTTCAATTTTTATTTTAAGTGCAGGGGTACATGTACAGGATGTGTAGGTTTGTTATATAGTGTGCCACGGTGGTTTGCTGCACAGATCAACTCATCACCTAGGTATTAAGCCCAGGGAGGGAGAAGCTGTATTTTTTTTTTTAAGACAAAGCCTCAAAAGTCACAGAACATCACAATGTGCTTTGTTGGTCAGAGCAGCCACAAGAGAGCCAAGGTGCATGGGGAGGAGAAATAGACTATCATTTGTTTGCAACAAGCAAGATTATAGAAGAGCAAGTGGGATTTGAAATGTTGCTGTAACTATTTTTTGAAAAATGTAATCTGCCACAGTCAGCCTTCCGGCCACAATAATTCACATTCTTCTCGCATGCATGTAAAATATACTCACCTCTCCATCTATACTCGTTTATCAAAGTCCCATACCATTATAGTATCAGGCTCAGGTTTGCGGCCTAGAATTTCATAATCTGAAACAAGAACAGGGATGAAAAATGTTCCATAGATATAGCATCTCAATATAGCTTCTTAGGTGCAGTTTCTCTTAACCTATAAACTATAGAAACAATTGTCTTCCCACATCCATCCAACATACCACGGTAGAACTGGCATAGGATAACTACTAAAGGCATTCTTATTTAAAAAGTTAGAAGACATGAGGCACACAGCAATCACTAGTCCATAGGAATTTTGAAATCCAACTAGGCTTTTTTTTTTTTTTTTTTTTTTTTTTTTTTTGCCGGTTCTTTGACTGGTTCTCAGGACTACTGCTTGAGAATGATTCTCAGTGGCTCTTGGCTGTGTTTTCTGAGTCATTCTTCCATTTCCTTAAGAAATAGCTGGCAGTGTTTTCCTTTGTATATGAGAATATATAAGGGAATATAATAATTATCTTGTAAATGTTGTAGATTTTCTGTTTATTTATTGAGGTTAACTCCACTAGACAAAAGCTACCAACCACAAATATGATTGAAATAAGTCCTTGCCTACCTTAGACTTATTGTAACTCTGCAAGGGAACAATGCCCTTAAGATTTTTAGAAATCCCACACTTCAATAAAAAGGATCTTTGAGACATATCCTGAAGATCTTTGAATGGGGTTTTGTATGTTTGAGACACCACCTTAAGTCTTTTTGAGACCTCAACAAAGGGTTTGAACGTCATACCCTTGATTTTATCTGTAGATCATGGTTTCCCGACAGAACCCAAGATTTGATCTCTACACCAAAGCAGTTTATTAATTTTAGCATAATTTGCCATCTGGAAAGCCTAGGAATGAAAACTACTGTTATTTTTAAACCCAGAAAGTCCTGGCTCCTTTACATTCAGTAGTTTTTCATTAGCATTTCTCTATTTTCTTATATTTAACATAGAATGCTCTAGCAGTCTATGGTACAGGTGGCACTTTCAATAAATACTCCACCTGGAAGTCTCCATGGCTCAATTATCTAGACCAGTCAATACATTTTCTAGCCTCCATGTTATCACAGGTAATAGAGTTTCTAAACTTTCTACCAGTATATCACAAGTGTATTCTTTCAGTTTCCAGTAACCCTTTTATTTATTTAATTCCACTCTTAGACTCTTCTTGAAGGCCATCAAAGTTTCATTGTCAGACTTCTTAAGACCCTTTAGGTTTTCGCCAACACTCTCCTCAGTGTCTTTCCAGTCTCTATTAATCTCCAAATCCCAAAGTCACTCCTGTGTGGTTTTTAGGTAGTTTTGTTATGACAGCACCTTGTTTCCAGGCATAAAATATGTTTCATTTATTTAATGCTACATAACAAACTACTTTGAAATTTAGGATATATAAAACCCATTTATTATGTTCATGGATTCTCTGAGTCAGGAATTTAGACAGGGCATAAAGAGGATGGCTTGACTCCTCTCCATGATGTGTGGGGCCCCAGCTAGAAGATTCATTCTGAGGGCTGGAATCATCTGAAGGCTTGTTGACTCACGTAAATGGTGGTAGATAAAGGTTGTTGACTGGAACTTCAACTACACTGGGCATGAACTTCTCTGTGTGATCCTTTTGTGAGGGTGAGTGTGGGCCTTTTCATAGCATAAGGGTTGTCTTCGCAAGCAACCCAAAACGAAGGAGCCAGGGGGAAGATGGATTCTTTTTGAGACCCAGTCCCAGAAGTCATACAGCATTACTTCAATCTATTCTAATGGCTGGAAAAGTCACAAGCCTTTCCAGGTTTGAGGAGAGAGGAAATAGGTGACAACTCTTGTTGGGGAGTTGTAGGGTTCTGGAGAGGCATATGGAATTGAAAATATGCTGTGGCCATCTTTGGAGATTACAGTCTGCCACATTGCCTTTTATTAATGTCATTCAAACATTCCTGATTTTTAAACATTAAACTGATATGTGCATATGGCAGAAATAAAAAGACCAAAAGGTATTATACAATGTAAGAATAAAAAGGCCCTCAGTTTTTTCCTAATCACAAGTATGCAAGCTTAAATATTAGCAATTAAATTTAATCATTATTAACTTTATTGTGTAGTCTGTCAAAAATGCTCTATGCACATACCAACATATACTTATTTCTATTATATTCTATTGAGTCTCTACGTTCTAAAACCCTTTCTTATTTATCCGTATAGCTAGGGTTATAAATTACAGACTATTCTTGGAATTTTTCTCTTGAAAGTTTTTCTGAGTCTTTTTCTTCAAATCTGCTATGCCTATGGTTTGACTAAGCTAAAATACAACTGTATCTCCAATCACACACGGATGACAGAAAGTAGAGCAGAGGTTGACTGTATCCTGAGATGGCAGAGTGGCCATTTAGGAGGAAAATATTGTCCCTTGATGACAAAGAGTGGGTTTTGTTTTGTTCTCTCATGTTTAATGTTTTTAAGAGTTTGGTAGGGCAGATAAAAAAACTCATATGAGGATTTTGTATGAGTATGAGAATCTCAGGACACCTCAAGACTTAATGATTAGGGGATGAAGGGGAAGTGTGTTTCAGGTTTCTGATATATACTATGTAATAGAAAAAACCCTAAGTTAAGATTTTAGAGACTTTTTGGTCTTGGGTCTTCCTACTGGGAAGCTTTGTGACCTTGAACAAGTCTCCTTTCCTTTAAGCACTTAATTCATTTGCAACATAAAGAGGTTGGACTTAAACTCTAAAAGTATGGTCCATGAAACAGCAGCATCCACATCATGTGGGAGCCTGTTGAAATCTTGAATTTCTCTCCAGAACTAGTACATCTGATTCTACATTTAAAAATCTTCAGATCGTTCACAGTAAAGTGTGAAAAGCACTGAACTAAAGAATCTCTAAGGTCCCTTTCTATTCTAACTTGGTAGGACTGAAAGAACTTAAAGGAGAAGGATAAGAAGAAAACACAGCAACGATGATATTGATATTTTCTGAAAAAGTCAAATATTTTCTTTTTTTCTAGTTGAAAACTAGGGTGGCAAAAATGCTGAATGATACAAAGTTGCCTGTTGTATTTTGTAATATTGTAGCCCTGTTGTAGTTTCCAGCCAGAGCCTTTTCTGCTTCATTTGCTGTTCTCATTAGTCAGCTTCTCAAGGTAGCTTTCAAGAATTCTGTTAGAAACAAGCTAGGAAAAGTAAAGTAACCTACCAAAGATCATGCTTTAAGGCAGTGCTGAAAATACCAGTCATAATAGATGACAACAGTATTCCAGAAAGAGCCTCAAAAGATGTAAAAGATTTAGTTAAATAAAGCCTAGAACAGTAAGTGGTGTTTCGGGTGATTTAACACATGGTAGAATAAATAAAAGAAAGGGAGTTACTTTGTAGATTCTGGATATTAGCCCTTTGTTAGATGAGTAGGTTGCGAAAATTTTCTCCCATTTTGTAGGTTGCCTGTTCACTCTGATGGTAGTTTCTTTTGCTGTGCAGAAACTCTTTAGTTTAATTAGATCCCATTTGTCAATTTTGGCTTTTGTTGCCATTGCTTTTGGTGTTTTAGACATGAAGTCCTTGCCCATGCCTATGTCCTGAATGGTAATGCCTAGGTTTTCTTCTAGGGTTTTTATGGTTTTAGGTCTAACGTTTAAGTCTTTAATCCATCTTGAATTAATTTTTGTATAAGGTGTAAGGAAGGGATCCAGTTTCAGCTTTCTACATATGGCTAGCCAGTTTTCCCAGCACCATTTATTAAATAGGGAATCCTTTCCCCATTGCTTGTTTTTCTCAGGTTTCTCAAAGATCAGATAGTTGTAGATATGCGGCATTATTTCTGAGGGCTCTGTTCTGTTCCATTGATCTATATCTCTGTTTTGGTACCAGTACTATGCTGTTTTGGTTACTGTAGCCTTGTAGTATAGTTTGAAGTTAGGTAGCGTGATGCCTCCAGCTTTGTTCTTTTGGCTTAGGATTGACTTGGCGATGCGGGCTCTTTTTTGGTTCCATATGAACTTTAAAGTAGTTTTTTCCAATTCTGTGAAGAAAGTCATTGGTAGCTTGATGGGGATGGCATTGAATCTATAAATTACCTTGGGCAGTATGGCCATTTTCACGATATTGATTCTTCCTACCCATGAGCATGGAATGTTCTTCCATTTGTTTGTATCCTCTTTTATTTCATTGAGCAGTGGTTTGTAGTTCTCCTTGAAGAGGTCCTTCACGTCCCTTGTAAGTTGGATTCCTAAGTATTTTATTCTCTTTGAAGCAATTGTGAATGGGAGTTCACTCATGATTTGGCTCTCTGTTTGTCTGTTATTGGTGTATAAGAATGCTTGTGATTTTTGTACATTGATTTTGTATCCTGAGACTTTGCTGAAATTGCTTATCAGCTTAAGGAGATTTTGGGCTGAGACAATGGGGTTTTCTAGATATACAATCATGTCTTCTGCCAACAGGGACAATTTGACTTCCTCTTTTCCAAATTGAATACCTTTTATTTTCTTCTCTTGCCTAATTTCCCTGGCCAGAACTTCCAACACTATGTTGAATAGGAGTGGTGAGAGAGGGCATCCCTGTCTTGTGCCAGTTTTCAAAGGGAATGCTTCCAGTTTTTGCCCATTCAGTATGATATTGGCTGTGGGTCTGTCATAGATAGCTCTTATGATTTTGAGATACGTCCCATCAATACCTAATTTATTGAGAGTTTTTAGCATGAAGGGTTGCTGAATTTTGTCAAAGGCCTTTTCTGCATCTATTGAGATAATCATGTGGTTTTTGTCTTTGGTTCTGTTTATATGCTGGATTACATTTATTGATTTGCATATATTGAACCAGCCTTGAACTCAAACAAATTTAAAAGAAAAAAACAAACAACCCCATCAAAAAGTGGGTAAAGGATATGAACAGACACTTCTCAAAAGAAGACATTTATGCAGCCAAAAGACACATGAAAAAATGCTCATCATCACTGGCCATCAGAGAAATGCAAATCAAAACCACAATGAGATACCATCTCACACCAGTTAGAATGGCAATCATTAAAAAGTCAGGAAACAACAGGTGCTGGAGAGGATGTGGAGAAATAGGAACACTTTTACACAGTTGGTGGGACTGTAAACTAGTTCAACCATTGTGGAAGTCAGTGTGGCGATTCCTCAGGGATCTAGAACTAGAAATACCATTTGACCCAGCCATCCCATTACTGGGTATATACCCAAAGGACTATAAATAATGCTGCTATAAAGACACATGCACACGTATGTTTATTGTGGCACTACTCACAATAGCAAAGACTTGGAACCAACCCAAATATCCAACAATGATAGACTGGATTAAGAAAATGTGGCACATATACACCATGGAATACTATGCAGCCATAAAAAATGATGAGTTCATGTCCTTTGTAGGGACATGGATGAAACTGGAAATCATCATTCTCAGTAAACTATCACAAGGACAAAAAACCAAACACCGCATGTTCTCACTCATAGATGGGAATTGAACAATGAGAACACATGGACAGAGGAAGGGGAACATCATACTCTGGGGACTGTTGTGGGGTGGGGGGAAGGGGGAGGGGGGAGGGATAGCATTAGGAGATATACCTAATGCTAAATGACGAGTTAATGGGTGCAGCACACCAGCATAGCACATGTATACATATGTAACTAACCTGCACATTGTGCACATGTACCCTAAAACTTAAAGTATAATAATAATTTAAAAAAAAGGGAGTTACTTTATTCCTCTTATAAAAACATTTTTTCCTTCCTCACTGCAGCCCAGTATGTGGACATAATAGGAGCCTATTATGGTGAATTTATTCTTTCTTTAATCTTTCCAATAAATATTTATTGGGCACCTATTAGGTGTCAGACCTTGTGCTGTAAAAAAAAAAAAGACAACTTTATTCTTTTATTTTTAATAGTTAAGTTACAATTCACATACTACTCTATGATTCACATATGTAAAATATGTGAATTTAATCATTTTCATTGTGTTCATCAATATGAGTAACCATTACCAGAGTCAATTAATTTTAGGACACTTTCATCACCTGAAAAAGAAGTCCTATATCATTTAGCTATCACTCTCCTGTCTTCCCTTGCCCCAGCTCTGAGCAATTGCTACTACTTTCTATCTACAGATATTTCTTTATTCCGGACATTTTATATAAATGGAATTACATGATATGTGGTCTTCTTGTGACTGGCTTTTCACTTAGCATAATAATATATTCAAGGTTCATTCACGTTGCATGGATCATACTTCATTCCTTTCATAGACAGTTTCTTTTAAATAGATGCATTGCATTTTTCTTATCCATTTATCAGTTCGTGAACAGTTAGGTTGTTTTCACCTTTTGACTATTGTAAGTAATGCTCCAATAACTATTCACATGCAGGTTTTTGTGTGGACATAAATTTTCATTTCTCTTGAGTGTGTACTTAGCAGTGAAACTGCTAGGTCATACAATAATTCTATGTTTTATCACTGAACAACTACCAGACTGTTTTCCAAAGTGGCAGCATGAAACTTCACTCCTAGCAAACTTAAAGAAATGGGGTTGAATTGGAGGTGGCTGGCAGTATGTGAGATATTTGACAACATGCAGTCTGAATCTCATCACCCCATCCATTTCATTATTCCCACCTCCATCTGTATATGTTTCTTAAAACATCCTTATATTTCCCTGCTGAAAGACCTACCAGGGAAACTCACTGACTGGTAGGCCCATGCCCTCAAGGATGTGATACTCAAGGTGCTCCATATTATGACGTAAGCAGAGCAGTTTAAACATTGTAGCTTTATGTTCTTGAATGTATAATTCATTTATTTCTGCCTCAGTTTCCTTTTCTCTTAAATAGATTGCCATAAAATATTGAAATGTAGAATCTTTAATAGAGTTTCTGACATATTACAGGTAACCTATGGCAATGATTGATATAACATCAATAAAAAATAAAAAGTTGTATTTCTATTTAGCTGCAAACATTTGGAAAATGTAAATATACCATTTATAATAGCATAAACAGACCATATATATTTAACAAATTTTAATTATGGATACGTAAGAGTTATACACATTTATGGGCATATGTGATATTTTGATACAAGCATACAACATGTAATGATCAAATTAGGGTAGCTATCACCTCAAATATTTATCATTTCTTTGTGTTAGGAACATTTCAATTCCACCCTTTTAGTTATTTTGAAATATACCATAAATTATTAACTGTAGTTGTGCTATTGTACTACTGAATGCTAGATCTTATTCTTTTTAACTGTATTTTTGTACCCATTAACCATTCTTTCTTTATGCCCCCCTCTGCACTACCCAAAAAGATACAGAAACTCTACTAAACATTCTAACATATTCCTCAGAGATTTAAAGAAGACCCAAGTTTATGAAGATAGAGAACATGTTAATGAACTGGAAGATTTAATATGGTTTGATTAGACCTAATTACAAACTAAATGAAATTTGCATTTTTTTGGTGGAAATACACAAGTTTATTCTAAAATTTATATGAAAATACAAGAAATAAAGAACTTCCAAAGCTATCTTGAAAAAGAACAAATTCAGATAAATTATATTATTACTTTATATCAAGACCTGCAGCAAGCCACAATAATCAAGATAGTATTGCATTAGCATAAGGTTATACAAGCTGATCCCTGGGACAAAGTAAAGCTCAGAAAGAAATCAATACACACATAGTCAGTTAATTTCAATAAAAGCTCAAAGACACTTCAATGGAAAGTCTTTTTGAACAAACAGTGCTGGAATAACTAGATAACCATGGAAATAATGAATCTTCTTAGCCACAATTCACAATATTCACAAAATTAATGTAGATAAATTATAGATTCAATTATAAAAGCTAAAGCTGTAAAGGTTTTATGAAGAAAAAAAACACAGAAGACTATATTACAATCTTAGGCTAGGCAAGATTTTATAGAGATGAAAGAAAAAACACTAGCTGCAAAAAAGCAATAAATCGGATTTCACAAAAATAAAACAACAAAAATTCTCTGCCCATCAAAAGAAAATTAAAAGTTTAGCTGTAATGTGGGAAAAAATATTAGCAATATATATTCGATGATGAACTTCACCCAGAACAAGAGCAAACCATTAATAAAAAGATACTGTTGTTTTTTTTTACAACTGAATGAAAGTTTTGGACATTTAAAAAAAATGGTGAATTGCACATGAAAATGTGCTTGATATCATTAATCATCAGAGAAATGTAAACGAAAATAAAAATAAACTATTGCACCACTTCGTTGTGGCAACAACAAATGTTGGTGAGGATGTGGAGTAAGTGGAACTCCCAGATCTTACTCAGAGAAGTAGGTAATGGAGCATCCAGTTTGGAAAACAGCTTGATGATTTTCATAAAGTTAAGCATATACCTCTGTTGTGACTCAGAAATTCCATCCCTGACTATTTACCTATGAGAAATGAAAATGTTTCTACAACAAGACTTGAGCATGTTTATAGCAGCTTTACTAGTAAATAGCCAAAAGCTTTACTAACAATAGCCAATGTCAAGAGTACAATGGGTACATAAGTTGTGGTATATTCATATAATGGAATACTCCTCAGCTACATCAAGGTAACAAATTACTGATAACATGGAACAATATGAATGGATTTCAAAAAAATGATACTGCCTAAACTAGCAAGAAACAAATGAGACAGCACTATATGATTTCCTAAGATGTGAAGTTCTAGTACATAATGATAAAAATCAGAACTCTAGTTGTTTCCTGTGGAGAGTGGATTGACTGGAAGGGGACATGAAGTAATTTCCTGGGTGATAAAAATGTTCTGCATCATGATAGTGTTGTTTACATGGATGTATATAGTTGCTAAACTCGTGTAATTGTGCACTGAAGATTTGTGCATTTAACTTTCTGTAAATTTTGCTTGAAATAGGAAACTCTAAATCCATCCTGGGAAATGTATTAGCTTGTATACTTGGCAATGTGGTTTACTTGCCTGCACATTGGCACCTTTATCTCTTTAATGGATTATTACTGGATTTAAAGAGAAATCTAAAGTGTTCAGTTATTTTTGGCACATTACAGGTATAGAAGGTGTAGCATATCATTAACACAACTAAACTTTCAACTCGCCAAATAATTTGCTGTAGCCAAATGAGAATCTTGACGAGTTTTGCATATATCCATTTCATTAATTCTTCTTCGCGTTTGGTTCTGGACATCTTGGAGCTTGAACCTATGAAGTTAATCATTGAAAATTAAGAGTTGGTTATGCTAGCTACGACATGCTACTACAATCTTAAACCTTTTATTTCTTTCCACTTTTGTTTCCTCATATTGCTTCCTATGCCTAGCTGTGCATTAGAATCAGCTGGTGACGTTTTTAAAGTACACTGTTGTTTGGTTGTCATGGCAGAGATATTCATCTAATTGATCTGGTGTGAGGAGTAGGCGTTAGTATTTTTAAAAAGCTGTCCAGGCATTTGAATCTGGAGTCAGAGTTAAAAACCACTGGACCAGGTGATGTTTAACGATCCTTTCAGCTCAAATGGCAAATCTACAAGCTAAAAATATTCAATGGAAGTGTTTGGTTAAGCTACATTTTTAAATTGTTGTTGTATTGATGTTGTTGTTGAATTACAAAGTGTTTAAGCAGAGAACAGAGGTTCCAACTAAACATCAACACTATGCTTTCTATTGCTTCATATCCATCCCTTTTCCCTATTTACTTTATTCTGAAGGCATCGAATTTTCATATTTGTGATTTTTGGTTCTAAAGATATTCAATTCAGCAGCACCTATAAGGAAAGGGTCCCCCCCCCTTTTTTTTAACCATTGTGACTTATTGTCATCTTCTATGAATGAAAGTTCTGATCTTACTCATCTGGAAAGACATATAGAACTGGGAAACTAAATTTTGAATACAATCTCTCATCCTGCCTTGTTCAGTTGCAGCAAGTTGGCTACAAAATTGCCCTACACAGCTATTGTATCTACTGCTGTATCAGCAGAATAAAGGGAATCTGATATAAAACCTTCAGAAAATGCAGATAGTTATTTTTTTTAAGTCTGGGAATTACAGAAGAGATGAAAGAACAGCTTCACTGTTTTCTTTCCATATATAAGGTATTCAACTGGAGTCGGGGTAGTGAGGTCACTAACTGCATTACAAATAGCTGGATCAGGTGGGCTCTTATGAGAATAATAACTTAGTAGAATTCATAAAGAGAGAAAAGAAGGCGATACTGGGATTGGTCCTAAAACCCCTTTCAGTTCAAAGGAGCTGGACTAATGTGTTGTATCAGTGATAAATGATTTGCTATTGTCAAATCTTCCAAATGGCTGATAGTATAATCCACAGCCCAGAAGTCTGTATGTATTTGAAATGTTTCGTTCCTTTGTAGGGAAAAATTTAAAAAGTAAATCCCATGACAATTGAAGTAGATGATATCTCTCCCCAGCCACCTTGATCCATCCAGACATGTGACATATTTCCCTCCTTAATTTTGATCAAAAATTCTTTGGCATTTTATACAAAAGTAGCCCAAGTTACTTATTAAGATTTAGCAAATAAACATATGAAATCTTCCACAATAGTGCCTAATAAAGAAGAAAAGATAACTTAGAAAATATATGACTGAGTTGGTTAAAAGTTCCTTATGACCACCTGACATTAGACATGCTGCAGAGAAATTTATACATGTATTTCTTTTTGAATATTTTGGATATTAGGTACTCATTACTTCACAAGCATTGTTTTTCATTTTTGGACAAGTTTTAGAGCTTTCAACTATCAGTTGTATTCTGTTCTCCAAACCCACATAAAAAAAGTCATCTTCTTCAATGTGACAATTTTAAGTGTTAGGTAAAACATAACTGTCTTTAATTTCCTTTTGTTAGAATAAATATTCTCAGGTTCTTCATTCATCCACCACATGCCATTGCTTTTTGCCCCATCATCATCCTGGTCACCCTTCAAGTTCTAATTTCCCAAAGACCTCCTGAAGCTCTTTTTGGAATTTAGGACTCTCTTTCAGTGTGTGATCTGACAGCCAAAAGTGTGGAGAGAGATTTCTATCTGCTTGTTTCTACACAAAAATTGTATTACACCCTTAAAGCCTTCATGAAGAAGAGCAGAGAGAAAAAACCAACAAATGCCTGTTGTTCTATTTAACACAGTCTCAGATTGCATTAGCATCCCCCACCCCCAACTTTGGCAGCTTCATTTTTCCTTTTCAGTGAACTCAATCTTCACAGCTGGTTAATTCTGTCACTTGAGTGTGTGATTCAAATGAAGCCAGGCTGAGGGCCAAGCCTTCCATGGACACAACCCACAGCCCTTTTCCCTGCCAATCATCTGCCCACAGACCCTTGGTCATGAGAGAGACTGACAAACACTTTGTTCTTCCCATCCCCTAAATGGCAAATCTGAGGGCAGAGAAAAAATAAGCTGGGTATTAGCAACTTGGGGTGATAGTTCTGGATCTTCTCAGAATGGCTTGGTGACCTTACATAAGTTCTCTAACAGGGCTGCTAGAAGTTGTTGTAAAAATTAAATTGATACTTTGGGAGGCCGAGGCGGGCAGATCACCTGAGGTCAGGTGTTTGAGACCAGCCTGACCACCACGGTGAAACTCCGTCTCTACTAAAAATACAAAAATTAGCTGGGTATGGTGGCAGGCACCTGTAATCCCAGCCACTCAGGAGGCTGAGGCAGGAGAATCGCTTGAACCCGGGAGGCGGAGGTTGCAGTGAGCCGAGATCACACCATTGCACTCCAGCCTGAGCAACAGAGTGAGACTCCATCTAAAAAAAAAAAAAAATTAAATTGATATAGAGCATTCTTCTTACTCATATCCATTGTTCAGTATTAAGCATCATATTCCTTTTTTTTCTTTTTGAGATGGAGGCTCGCTTTGTTGCCCAGGCTGGAGTGCAGTGGCATGATCTCCGCTCACTGCAATCTCCACCTCCCAGGTTCACGCCTTTCTCCTGCCTCAGCCTCCCGAGTAACTGGGACTATAGGCGCCCGCCACCACGCCTGGGTAATTTTTTGTATTTTTAGTAGAGACAGGGTTTCACCATGTTAGCCAAGATGGTCTCGATCTTCTGACCTTGTGATCTGCCTGCCTTGGCCTCCCAAAGTGCTGGGATTACGGGCGTGAGCCACCTCGCCCGGCCCAAGCATTATATTCTTTTTGGAAGGTGAGCACATGATTTTATTAGTGGTCTGATAGAGCAGCTAAACATATTGAGCTTTGTTCAAGTGATGGACTTTCAACTGTCCTTTTATTTTCTTCTCTATTGAATTCTGAGTATGGAAAATCACTTTCTTTACTGTCACAACTTTTGAACATTCATTTAATTCCCCACTATATTATAAATACATAAAGGAGCTTTATTGTAGATTGAATTCTATTATGTTTAGTAACAGGTGTGAGGCAGTGTGATGGTTAATAGGAAGTAGAAGTGGCACCACTCACCATTACCCCTAGTGACCCAACAGCAGAATTTTTGCTTCCTGTTCCCATGACATTATGTTCTGCTGGCCTAGAGGTCTTAGTTCCTGAGGGAGGAATGCTGCCACCCAGACACAACATTGATTCCATTGAAATGAAAGTTAAGACTGCCACCTGGCCACTTTTAACTCCTCATGCCTCTGAGTCAAAAGGTTAAGAAAGGGGTTACAGTGTTGGCTGTGGTGACTGACGTAGACAATCAAAATCCACTACTACTCCACAGTGGAGGTAAGAGAGAGTATTTGTGGAATATAAAAAATCCCTTAGGGTGTCTGTTATTAATAGTATTACCCTGCCTTATAGTTACGGTCCACAGGAAATGACAACAGCCCAATCCAGGCAGGAATAGGGATGGCCCAGACCCTGTGAGAGTGAAAGTTTGGGGCCTGGTGTGGTGGCTCACACCTGTAACCCCAGCACTTTCGGAAGCCGAGGCAGTCAGATCACCTGAGGTCAGGAGTTCGAGACCAGCCTGGCCAACGTGGCAAAACCCAGTCTCTAGTAAAAATACAACAAAAATTAACAGGGTGTGGTGGCATACACCTGTAACCCCAGCTACTCGGGAAGCTGAGACAGGAGAATCTCTTGAGCCCAGGAGGCGGAGGTTGCAGTGAGCTGAGTTCATGTCACTGCACTCCATCCTGGGCGACAGAATGAGACTCCATCATCTCAAAATACAAAACAAAATGAAACAAAAAAAATAAGTTTGGGTCACTCTAGCAAATAAAAAACCACAACCAGCTAAGTACTTGTTAAAGACAAAGAAAATACAAAATAAATAATAGAAAAAGGTAATTTTTTAAATTTTAAGACAGAGTCTCACTTTGATACCTACGCTGGAGTACAGTGGCACAATCTTGGCTCACTGCAACCTCTGCATCCCGGGTTCAAGCGATTCTCCTGCCTCAGACTCCCCGGTAGCTGGGATTACAGGTGTGTGCCACCACACCCAGCCAATTTTTGTATTTTTAGTAGAGATGGGGTTTCACTATGTTGGCCAGGCTGGTCTCGAACACCTGACCTCAGGTGATCTGCCCACCTCGGCCTCCCAAAGTGCTGGGATTGCAAGCAGGAAAAGGTAATTATTAATACCAACTATGAACATGTGACCTGTTACAGAAATGAAGACTATGTTTGCTCATTTTGTTAAAAATATGTTTGTGCATATATATATACCTGTATTAAGCAAATATCTTTATTTTCTTTATTCCCTTGACATGTAACATAAAATATATTGAATTCATGTCGGCACTTCAGTGTTAATTTTATGTGATAATATTTAAGGATTTGTGCATTTTTGCTTGCATGGAGAATAATTATGTTAGGCAGAATTATGACTTATCTTTAGAGATTAAGTATAATTTTAAAATATATATGGGTGTCAAGTTGACAAACAGTGGATTTTGTGATGGTTAATATTAAGTGTCAACTTGGCTGGATTGAGGGATGCCTAGATGGCTAATGAGGTACGGTTTATGAGTGTGAGTGTGAGTGTGTTGCCAGAGGAGATTGACATTTGAGTCAGTGGACTAGGAGAGGAAGGCCCTCCTCAGTGTGGGTGGGCATCATTCAATCATCTGGCAGCACAGCCAGAACAAAGCAGGGGGAAGAAGGGGCATAAGCAGCTTGCTGAGTCTTCCAGCTCTCTCTTCTCCCTCTCTGCCTCTTTCTCTTCCTTTGTGAAAGGAAAATAAATCTTAGAACCCCAAAATCATGAAGCCAAAGGGAAAATTCAAGCTGAGAACTGCTTAGGGCAAATATGCCTCCCATTCTATTGCTTAAAAAGATAGCTAAGATAAGCTACATACCTCCCTGATAAGGAATTTCCTTGTGGACAAAGGACAGACAGAACTCACTGAGATAAATGCATATCTATTTGATCACCTACTTTGATCAGAGACTCAAAAGAATGGAACAATTTGTCTCCTATCTATCCTATGACCTGGAAGCCCCCTTCCTGCTTCGAGTTGTCCCACCTTTTCGGATTGAACCAATGTGCATCTTGCACATATCGATTGATGTCTCCTGTCTCCCTAAAATGTATAAAATCAAACCGTGCCCGACCACCTTGGGCATATGTCTTCAGGACCTCTTGAGGCTATGTCAGGGGTGCACAGTCCTTAACTTTAGCAAAAGAAACTTCCTAAATTGATTGAGACCTATCTCGGATATTTGGAGTTCACACCTTGCTGGACACCTTGCTTCCTCTCCTACTGCCCTTGGACATTAGGCTCCAGGTTCTTTGGCCTTAGGACTCCAGAACTTGGACCAGGGGTCCCCTGGGGCTCTCAGGCCTTTGGCCTTACACTGAGGGCTGCACTGTCAGCCTTCCTGATTGTGAGAGGTTTTTGTCTTGAACTGAACCTCACTACCAGCCTCTCTCTTTCCTCAGCTTGCAGAGGGCCTATTGGGAGACTTTCCTTTGTAATCACGGGAGCCAATTCTCCCTAATAAATGTCTTTATATATATATACATACATTTTATTGATTCTGTCCCTCTGGAGAACTCTGACCAACTCAGGCAGAGTGGAGTTAGGAAAACAAACATTTCAGCTGTGAAATTCTAAACTAGAGGATAGTGATCTAAAACCTTACGACATTGAGCCACTCAGGGTTGTGGTAAGATGTCTTCACATGAGTCCAAAATCCATTACAATGTTGCCAATGTAGTGAAATTGTCTTTGTTCCTTCACTTCTCACCTGCGGTATTTGGGCAAGCTTACACCTATAGTTAGTGATTGCTCAACCTCTGGAACCCAGATCAGTGTTGCAAATACTCTCTGTGCATGTCTTCATTCACCTTCTTACCTGTGGCAGACTTCAGCCATTGAGTATAGCACTTCTTATGAAGCCCAAACATAGCCCAAAGTACTTTTCCACAGAGGACCAAAGAAACTCACTACTAGTCTGTGGCTGGCATAAGAATAAAATGTCATTTTAGCATAATATTTAGAGTTCGACCATCTGCGTTCAAAGTCCATTTTCTCAACATAAGATTTAATTTCTCACTGTCTGTTTCCTCATATGTAATATGAAAATAATAATACCTACTTCATAGAGTTGTCAGGATTAAATGAGAGAATGTAAAAATGTTAGAACAGTGTCTATACATAGTTAGTTCTTACTATATATGGTAGTTTGCAAGTCAATCTAATTGCCCTTTTCTTTATGTAGTACTACCTTCAGCTATGTAATTAAAACTTTTTCTTCTTCTTTTTTTTTTTCTTTGAGAAAGAATCTTGCTCTGTCGCCCAGGCTGGAGTGCAGTGGTGTGATCTCAGTTCACTATAACCTCCGCCTCCTGGGTTCAAGCGATTCTTCCGCCTCAGCCTCCCAAGTAGCTGGGACTACAGGCACACGCCATCACGCCCGGCTAACTTTTGTATTTTTAGTAGAGACAGGATTTTACCATATTGGCCAGGCTGGTCTCGAACTCCTGACCTCATGATACACCTGCCTCGGCCTCCCAAAGTGCTGGGATTACAGGCGTCAGCCACCGCGCCTGGCCAAAAAGCTTCTTTAGTGATAAAGCTGGATATGAGTCTTAGCAGTGATACACTTCATAGTAAGAGATGTTCAAGTATGTGTCTGTATGTTTGTGTCCAAGTTGATTTTTATGTGCATTTGGAATGAATCTAGAAGGACTGCGGTTTATGTTTTTATATCTTGCTACTTCAGTTAACATTTGAATAGGGTCATTTGGTGAACATGAACACTAAAATATTCTTTCCAAAATGGGAACCAATCTGGATAATGATAATACTTAGCCATTAACCTGAAGTTCTTCCATTAGTAATTCTATTTACGGAATTCCAGAAAAAACTACCAAAAGCTTTAGGAAGCAGGAGCGGGTCATGCTAACCTTTCTGTTGGCATTTGATCAGGTCTTTCTGATTCATTCTTTTTTGGTCACACAGTTTTTGTCCCTGTGCCTGTCTTTAAAGTATTTGTGGGCTCTTGTTTTAGACAGCTTTGCTGAGATGCTGTTGTTACTGTTGTTGATATCAGAAAATATGCAGAAGTGAAAGAGAGTGAGCATGTTGTGTGATTTATGGGAGCATATTTATGTGTAGGTGTGGACACATGAGTTGTATATGTTGAGTTAAGGAAAACGAGCCTATTGTGTATATATGGGATGTGTGGGTGGAAGAAATGTATAGCTATGTGTCTCTGTGTATATATGTTTGCACGTGTGCACCCTTGGCAGTATAAAGAACAGCCTCTCCTTAAGTTGATTTTTTTTTTTTTAAACTCAGCCTGTTCAAGGTTATCCTGTGGTTTCTTTTTCCCTTTGCTGTCTTTTCATTCTACTCCTTCTTAATCCCTTTCCTTTCACATTTCCACAAGTTTCACTCTCTCCTATTGTACTAAGACTCAACAGTTTACACCTTACTATCTTTCGCCTAGAGCTAAAGCCACCATGTATTTACCTGCTGAGGGCTTCACAGAATGACTCCACCTAGTCTCTCAATGGTTCAATATAAGATAGCTCATGTTCACCCAAAACATGTATCACTTCTGGCTTTCTTGGGTCAAATATGCCTGAAACGTTGACTCTCAACTCTTCTCTGCTGCTCCCTTTGCAGAGCATTTATGGTCTGCCAGCTCCAGCTAAACAGGGCAGATATAATTACTCCCCCTTGAATAGTGAGGATTTAGAGGGCTATGAGAGGGTCAGAATTAGACTGTGGAGTTCTACAGAGGGTTGGTAGGGAAGAACTCTGCAGATCAGACATGTGGAAGGGGCTTATCAATAAAATACTCCCAGAATATTCTTTTACATTCTAGCCTTTTTCTAACCCCCAGTATTGTTGAATTATTACTCATGACAGGCCTTAGTAGTGATCTGTCTTTTGCTTGACTATTATTACAGGTCATGAATGAGATGTATATCCTTTTTTTAGTTTTTATTTTTGGGGGATACATAATAGGTGTATATATGGGTTATATGAGATATTTTGATACAGGCATACACTGTTTAATAATCACATCGGGGTAATTGGGGTATCCATCCCCTCAAGCATTAATCCTTTGTGTTATAAACATTCCAATTATGCCCTTTATTTTAAAATGTACACTTATTATTGACTATAATCACCCTGTTGTGCTATTAGTACTAGATCTTATTCATTCTATTTTTTGTACCCGTTAACCATCCCCACTTCCCCTCCCCCACTCCCACTACCATTCCTAGCCTCTGATAACCATCATTCTATTCTCTATCTTCATAAGTTCAACTGTTTTAATTTTTAGTTCCCACAAACAAATGAGAACATGTGAAGTTTGTCTTTCTCTGTCTGGCTTATTTCAATTAACACATCCACCCATGTTGTTACAAATGACAGGATCTCATTCTTTCTTATGGCTGAATAGCCCTCCGTTGTGTATATGTACCACATTTTCTTTATCCCCTTGTCTGTTGATGAATGCTTAGATTGCTTCCAAATCTTGGCTATTTATGCACAGTGCTGCAATAAGCATGGGAATGCAGATATCTCTTCAATATAGTAATTTCCTTTCTTTTGGGTATATACCCAGCAGGGGGTTACTGGACTGTAAGGTACCTGGATTTTTAGTTTTTTGAGGAACCTCCAAACTGTTCTTCATAGTGGTTGTACTAATTTACAATCCCACTAACAGTGTACTAGGGTCCCCTCTTTTCCACAACCTCACCAGCATTTGTTATTGCCTGTCTTTTGGATAAAAGCCATTTTAACTGGGATGAGGCGATGTCTCATTGTACTTTTGATTCACATTTCTCTGATGATATCAACGATGTTGGGCACCTTTTTGTATACCTGTTGGCCATTTGTATGTCTTCTTTTGAGAAATGTCTATTCAGATCTTTTTCCCATTTTAAAATCAGATTATTAGATTTTTTCCACTATAATTGTCTGGGCTCCTTATATATTATGGTGATTAATCCCTTGTCAGATTGGACATCCTTTCCTTTTGGAGTGGCATTCGTAGTGAATTAAGTTCTGGATAAAGGAGTTGCCTTTGCTTCATGTTTAGTACCCATGTTGACAACCTGCTCTGTTAAAATTAAAAGTAATATTAATAATCGTGGCAGGTCATGAACAAAATCTGTTGGTATCACTAAATATTCATGCATTCTGCAGCCCTTATGTTCTGTTTACAGTTCTAGTAATTAAGTAGCTCAGAGCTTAGAGAAATAACTGAGTTTAATAACAATTATGAAATTTTAAAAGGTAGCATTTACATAATGCAAATAAGGTAATTAATTACAACCCTGGAGAGAGTTCTTGCCTGCTGGTGAACTCTAAGCCCACAATATTCACATTAGGTAAGCTTTACCTTTTTTCTTTCAATGACATTGACCTTCCAACTGTCCATGGAAAGAGGACTACACCTTGGGGATTTAGAGGGTGTGAGCCTAAATATGGTAACTCTACATCTGATTCACAGGGTGACTTCAGTTTACAGCTAGTGCCTGATATATATAAAGCCCTTTGAATTTCACAATTTTTTTTCTTGTACATGGTCTCCTTTAAGACTTATAACCACACAAGGGAAGGGAGGTCAGATTTTACTTTTGAGGAAATAAAGTTACACAAGCAAATGAATACCTTTGGAAACATCTCAGCTGACAAACAGTCCCCTTGAAATGAGAACTGATCCACCATCTATTGGGCCAAAGGAGTGGGCCTCAGGCATGATGTCTAAAATTCATACACACTCTGTTCATACTTTTTGGTGAGGGGGAATTAGCTAGGCCTATCATACCTTCAGCTAGGAATTAAACATGGAAATGAGAATCAGGAATCAGTCTTTCCTTGTGGCTGGACCTATACCATGAAAACTTGGATTATCTTGTCTTCCACCAGGCAGACTGGGAGGTAAAGGAAAAAAAGCTGATTGTCAGAGAGAGAGAAGAAAGGGAAGCAATAATGAAAGAGGAATGGGCCCCTTGTAGTAGCTTTCTAGATCCCCTATCCACTGCCTTTGGGACCCTGTTGGTAACTCTAGTGTGTTTTTATTGTTAAAAGAGTCTCGAGTAAGACAAACATTTTGCCTAAGTCAAAAAACTAATGAGTAACACAGAGTGAGAGAGAACTCAGGTTTTCTAACCACTAATGTATAGTTCTTTCTATAGCACTGCAACTGCCTTTTATATTTCTCAGGCCTCATCCCTCTATTCAGGACCCATCCTCCCTGTCATGAAGATGGAGCCGCCTTAGGGTTCTCGGATCTTAGAGTCTGGCTTCTAGCATGTCCAGATGTACTCTATCAGGATGCTCCTTGATTCATTAAAATGCTATAAGAAGGAAACACAGCCAGCTGCCATTCTCTTTGCTCATCATCTTCCCTGGTGTCAGTCGCACCTCATTGCATTTGGCAACACTCCTGACGTGAGTGACATTAGCTGGAGCACAAATCAGGTAGCATCTGCTGAGGAGCAGAAAAAAAAAATCACAAACACATTTATAAAAGGGAAAATAAAATCAGGGTGACATTCAAGTTGTCTTTTTGATAGTCTCTGTTTCTACATTTGTATTTAAAATAGATGGCTCCATTTCGTGGTGTTCTAATTTACCTGTTTTTGAAGCCTGTTCCTAACCTTTACCTCAGAGGAAACTCACGACATTGAATAAATATAGTAGAACAGGAGTTATAACTAGGGCAACCATGTGGGTCAGTTTGCTGAAGATGACCCCAGTTTAGAGTATTGTCCTAGTATAATTTTTAGTAGACCCTTTTCCCCTTTCAAATATGTCCTGATTTGGATGATAAATAATTTGATCACCTTGGTAACAGTCTCCATTGGATAAACCATCCACCAGTGATACTTAGCATCTACTATGCATGACCAAAGGTGGTGTGTGTGTAATCATGTCACCACTATCTCTTCCTTTAATGAGCTTCAAATTTAGGGTTACCACAATAGCAAAACAGAACGGCAACTCCAGGACTCATCTTAACAGTGGGACCCAGAGAAAACAAGCCAACTGGTTATCAGTTTCCTATTCTTGAAATGAATGCATGCCAAGGCAGGGTATGCATGGGTCAAAGACAGAGAGTCTGGAGACAGACAACTTGGGCTCATAACACTTCCATTTCCTAGTGCTGTGACCATGAGAAGGTTAACTGATTTTCTCAAGCTGCTAATTTCACAAGTATACATATGGATGATAACAGTATATCCTCCTCCTTGTTGGAGTGCTGTGAGGATTAAGTGCTATAATGTGTGGTTGGGTAATTAACATAGTGCCTAGTGGAAACTAAGAGTTCAGTAAATGAGACCTACAGTAGGATCCATAGCAACAAGTGCTTCTTGGATTAAAACTCCTTAGAATCAGCCTTTCTATCTTTCAAACTCAGTGACATATTAGGTAAGGCTAATCATAGAAATCCCATGGTTGGAAGGGCCTGTGCTATTTTCCAACCCGCACTCCCTACCACTCAGTGGTGGATGGTTAGTAGGTAAACAACATTCCTCAGAATCATTCATCACATTTCTTCTCGACATTTTCAAATAGAGTTGTGACAGCAAGGCAAACTGTGTGCTGTAGGCTAAAAAGAACAGATGGTGTCAGAAGAATCTAGCATGTGATAGAAAAACATGGTATGTTTCCATCCAGCATAGGGAGGGGCAGGAACAGTGTGTACTGAAGAGCTCCTCCTTCCAGGTGGTGGGGTGGGAAGAGAAAAAGAGTTGGTGGGGTACCAACAGCAAAGTCCTTTGTGGACAAGGTCTGTCTATACTATAACTTCTCTGGGATTTCTTCCCTGAGTCTAGAAAGATGCTAAATTTTGTTAAATGCTGTTTGAATACGTTTCTTGGAAGTAGACTAGGAACACTTTCCATGACTTGATTGAACAAAGGCCAAAGAACATAGACCCATTAAAGAAAAACAAATATAAAGCCAAGTATTTATTCAAATTATTACCTATTATTATCATAGAAATTAATGGCTAACATTTATTGAACTACATGCCAGATTGAACTAAAAGCTTCGGAAGCATTATCTTATTACGTGTCTACAACTCCACTGTGACATACATGCTGGGATTATCCCAATTTTGCCTCCAAGGAAACTGGTGAAAGAGGCCTAGGGGTAGCACAGCCATTAGGAGGGGCGCCTTTTAACCTAGGTCAGTCTGACTGTTATATATACAATTGTTTTGTGCTCTTGACCATTATGCTGTGATTAACTTGCCAGAAAAATAATCTATTGCAGAACTTGGTAAGCAAAATGCCTTTGGTTATCACTGTGTTTAAGGATGAAGTAATATTAAATAAGAGGAAGAAAAATTAAAATATTGAGGGCTAGAGGACATTTCTGGTTTGGTTGAAACTTTCTCCTGTTCCCAATATGAATTACAGGGCATCTGGCCTTACAGTTGGGTGCCTAGTCTTGTTTCACAAAGAAGATCAATTTATTTTTCTTCAGGAAAACATTCTGAGATTTTAGTGGTATTAAATGCCAGAAAGGTCTTCCTGCTTTTTAACCTAAGATGATCTAAGTAGAGCACAGGAAGTAGGAATTGGAACACAGTTCTTTTTGCTATATTTGGTAACATACCAGTTCCTTATTTGTTTTCTCTTTAGTTTTATTTTTAATTATATAAATATTTGTGATATGACTCTTATATGCCATGCTCTGTACAAACCTATAAATGACATGAAGGTGAGAAAAATAGACACAGTGCCTATCCTCATTAAATGTATTATCTTGATTTTTTCTAATAAAACAAAAAAGATTATAAAATTTTGCCACATTCAATAGTTGAGTGTGTTTAATTGTATTTTATCAATCATGTCTATTTAAAATTTAGTTGCTTGCGTATCTCTCTAAATACGTTCATATGCTATTTTAGAATAAAGCAAGAGAGAAATCAGTAATGCAGCATTTATAGCTGATTGCCTTGATTCAGAAAGATAAGAGGGTCAGAGCTTTACTGAGTGACCTAGAATAAGTTGTTACATTTCTCCAAGCTTATTTACTAATTTAGAAAATGACCCTCTGCCCTCCGTTCCCTACAGGCAAACTGCAAATATATAGTCACTTCCCATGTGAAAATGCATCTGTCCCAGAGTTGAAAAGTACCTGAAGTCAGATGTCTGTGAAGAGCTGGTTTTAGAAGTACAAACTCTGTCTCCTTTTCCTTGTCTACCTTTAGGTGATTTACCTCATTTTGTATTAAGTGAGAGTGTCACTCCATTTTCTATTGACCTTGATGATGGCCCAATGTTAAGATCTAATGAGATGGGTGTGAAGATTCTCTATGAATTTAAGGGTTTCTAGTTGAACAAAGCTGAAATCTGAGCTGAGCTGCTTAGATGAGAGATATGAGATGATTTCAGACTGCATGGTTGTATGCCTTGCAATATTAGAGGATTTCTTTGTGGATTGTATGGGTGAAGAAGATGATGATGCAAATTATTTTCTGAATTCATTTCCCACTGTAACAAAAATATCTACTCTAATGTAATGTCTTATGACTGACCAAGTGGAAATGCCTGTACAGATATCTATCAATGCAGCTAATAGTCCATGCAATAAAATGAGTTCAGCCTCAAACTTCTATCCCTCCTGTTTCAGGAGAGATGTCCATAGCTCCTGGCACCAAGTCCCCAAATCTGCTTCCAGATTACAGCATATGCTCAGCAGGGAGCTGCTCCCTTGTCAACAATGAGCATTAGTATAGCAGTTGGACTGGAAGGAAAAGCCTTGGTCTATTAGGAAGCCTGCAGAGCTTGGTTGCTAGGCAACCCAGTCTGGAGGCAGCAACCAGTGTGCACCAAGAGGAAATCTAGGGAGGTGGGTCTAGAAAACAGGGAAAAGCAATTCTTTTCTCAGAATCAGCTGAGGCAGAAAAAAAGTCAATTGTACTGCCTACCATCCAGGTAAAGAAGTGCTCCATATGTTTATTTATGCAGTACATTTTAGCATCAAAGTGTTAGGTGCCAACACTCACAGGTAACTCTATATTGTCATCTGGAAAATTATGTGACCTTGAGTAGGTGACTTACTCCAGCGTTGGTTTCTCTGACAGTAGCAAAAAGTCAAGGAGTCAGGTAGCAGCAGCTTCTCCTCATGCCTACCACTGCAGCCATCACCCCTGTGCATAACCCTTAAATCAGAGAAACACTGAGTCTGATCTATTAGAAAATGACCCTCTGCCATGCCTTCTCTACAGGCAAACTACAAATATATAGTCATTTCCCATGTGAAAATGCATCTGTCCCAGAGTTGAAAAGCACCTGGAGTCAGATGTCCGTGACAATCTATCACTGAAAGTAATAGATTGTAAGCTTGGCAGATACAGATTTAAAGCAGGGCTCCTTCGCTTATTTTAGTTGTTAACCTTGGGCATGTTTCTTTGCATAGTTTACTCATCAGTGCTTGGGGCCTGACATATTTGTAAACAATGAATAGAGGCTAGTGAGCTAGCCAGTGTAGAGACTTGGGTTAGTGTCTCAGACTAAAACTGAATGGCATGGTTAAAAAAAAAAAAGTACAGGAGAAGGAAGTGAACATGGAAAGGTCCAGTAATAGGAGTTGGGAATCCAGACTTCCGTGGGAGTCTATGTCATCACCAAGCAATCAGTCCAAGTGGGATCTGGATCAATAATTAGAGTCAATGATCCCAGCTCAGAGGATGCACAAAAAGAGCAAGCGCCTGTGAAAGGCCACATTCCCAAGTATCACAGAGAACTACTACAGATCTCTGCTGAGGCAGGAAGATCGCTTGAGCTGAGTAGTTTGAGGCTGCAGTTAGCTACAATAGCACCATTGCACTCCAGCTTCAGAAACAGAGCAAGACCCTATCTCCAAAAAATTAAAATAACAAGAGAAAGAACCAAAATCATTTATTTTTGTTAACTCTTCAATATTTTGATGTACCGAATATACAAAAAAGTTTAAAATCTTTATAATAACATTAAATCAAAATAACTAATAGAATCAAGGCAAAGGAATATTAATTATTGCAGATTCTTCCATTTGCTAGTATGTCTTCAATTAGCAAGTTAAGAAATCAAACACTTTTACTGTATTGTATTAAGTTGTATATTTGGAAAAGGAAAATATTACTTGGGATTTTTCTTTGTTGTGATAAAAGATGGCATCTGTATTTCCAAACATGGAACAGTATTTTTCACATCTTACTTGATGTAAGATTTCTCAAAGTAGAATCATCACTTTTTAAAATGCATCTTTGAAATAAAGGGGGAAAATGCAGGCAAAAAAAAAAAAAAGTTCAGCAAATTGACTCCAAATTCAGAACACTTCCAGTCTGAAATTTGTAATTTGCAGGTATCACCTTTCTTTGAATGCTTTCAGAGGCTTTTGTATTCTTGGATCTGAGTATTTTGCTTTCCAGAAGACGACATTTGCAGATTGTTTTCTATTGAATAGGCCTTGCTCTAAACAATGTGTATCATTTTCCTTTCTGAGCTCCCATCTCCTCACCAATAACAAGAAAAATTGGCCTAGATGGTCTCTGAATCAACTTCAGCTCCAGTATTTTATACATTTTTCTAATACTTAAGAGCCTTGGAACTTTCCATTCATTTACCAGACACATTTTATTCAGTGCCTACTAGGTGCCAGACACTGTCATAGGCACTGAAGATACATACGAAGTTAAATAACCTGGCAAAACTTCTGTTCCCATGGATCTTATGATAGCAGGAGATGGATTGATAACCAGGTAATAGGACTGCCTGATTATTTCATATGGTGCTAAATGCTATGAAGTACTTCAGAAAAAGAATAGTCTTAGTTACAATTTCAAAGTAAAACTATCAAGAAGTTACTTCCTTAAAGCAAAAATTTATTTTCATGGTTCTGTGGGTTGACTGGACTCAACTGAGTGGTTCTCCTCCTCCCTGTGCTGTAGTTGAAGCTTTTCATGCAACTGCATTCAGCTGGGAAGTCAGCTGGGGCTAGAACAACCAAGATGGTGTCTCATTCTCAAGGTCTTTTCATCCTGTTGCCGTGCTGTGTTCCTTCCCAAGCTGTTTTATAGTACGGCAGTGGGACACCAAGAGCACAAGCCACAATATGCAAACGCCCCTAAAGCATATGTGGTCATGATGGTTTTATTTATTGAGACAGAGTTTTGTTCTTTGTCACCCAGGCTGTAGTGCAATGGTGCAATCTCAGCTCACTGCAACCTCCAGCTCCCAGGTTCAAGCGATTATCCTTCCTCAGCCTCCCCAGTAGCTGGGATTACAGGAATGTACCACCACACCTGGCTAATTTTTGTACTTTTTAGTAGAGATGGGGTTTCATCATGTTGGCCAGGTTGGTCTCAAAGTCCCGACCTCAGGTGATCTGCCCTGCCTTGTCCTCCCAAAGTGCTGGAATTAAAGGCTTCAGCCACCATGCTCGGCCTCATCATGGTTTTTTTTTTTTTTTTTTTAATGTGCCATTGGCAAAATTAAGTCACACGGGTAAGCCTAGAGTTGGTTTAGGAGGGAACAGTACAAGGACATAAATGCAGGGTGGTGGGAGATACCAACGTTTGGGGAAGATGACAACTTCCTATCAAAACATGAGAAAAGCCTTTCAGAAGCAGTGCTATTTGAACTGAGACCTGAAGGCTGTGAGTAGATCAGAGAGAAGAAGTTTTCAGGCAGAGAAAAAAACAAGTACAAAGGGGCTGGAGTAAGAAAAGCTTAGTGTTTTCACACATCTGAGATGAGGCCTCTATGACTGGATCTTTGTGAGCAGGGGAAGGAAGAGTTAGAAGATAAAGTCAGTGAGGGTGAGCAAAGGCCAGATCATAAGGCCTTCTAGGCCATAGTAAGTCTTCAGGTTTTACTCTACATGCAGAGAGATGCCGTCAATATATTGAAGATGGAGGGTGAATGGATGTAATTTACATTGCAGAAACAAAAGTCAGACTTCTTTGTGAAGAAAGGATGTTAAGAAAATCAGCCCAGGGTTTTTAATAAGTTGGAAACTTAAAAAAGACTATACTAGATTGAGAGGTTTAAATGACAACAAGGTACAATGAGTGAGTCTGGAATGGGGGAAAATAGCTGAAAAGACAATTGAGGATAATTGAAGCAATTAAAAAATTATTAAATGGAGAGAGATTATCCACTGGAAACAATTTACAAAACAGGAACACTATGCTGTCACGTTGGTTTAAAAAAAAAACCCACATATATGTACATGCATGGATAGAGATCCACAAAGATGTATATTAAAGTATCCTCTTAGTGGTGATTCATGAGTATAAGATTGTGATGTTTTTATTTGCTTTAAAAATAATGGTAAGGAGGCAAGATTGAAAACTTGAATAGATAAGAAGCTGCTGCGGGTGAGATAATTGTCATTTTAATAGATTAATTGCACTGAAGTTGGTGAGAAGTAGATATATTGGGGATATATTTTGGAGGCAGAGGGTTAAGACTTACTGATGAATTAGCAATTCTAGGAGAGGTAAAAATTAGAATGACTCCTAGGTTTGTGGCTTGAGAAACAGATGGAAGTGGCTGACATTTTCTGAGATGAGGAAGACCAAGCAAGTCAGAAGTGGATACCTTTCTTAGAGGGAGGTTCAGAGGTGCATGGACACTCTGTGGATGATGACTTATGAGATGTACCATTTGAAGTTCTAAATTGTCTCAGATGAGTTCCCTTTGATCTCCAGAGTTCTATTCAGGCCAAACTTTGTCAATCAGATTCTTAAAAATATGGCTAAGCGAGGCTGAATGAATGAAGACATGTCTTGAATGGTTCTCCTGGGATGCTAGGTAGAATGTAAATAAAATAGCACAGGATGCTCCATTACTCATGACTCTCCATTTTAGGAAGTCAGTACTCATACTTGAAATGGGCCAGAGCAAAGGAACCCAACTACTTACCACAAATGAAAATAGGACCACTGAAGAACAGAAAGAACAGTAAAGGTTACTATGCCGAGAGAGTGAAATCACACATTTTGGAGAGAGATTTATCAACATAAATCATCACTTTTTTTTTAGCCAACTCTCAGTTATATGAAATCTCCAGTTAACACAAACTCATATGTGATGGTTTTATTGTGATAATTTCACAACTTTGTAGGACTACCTGGAAGACTTCCCTCTCTCTGCTAAAATAAAGCAATAAAAGTTTTATTACAGGTGGAGAAGAATTTCCTGAATAGTAAGTCAGGACTAGAATAGAGGACTCTACCCACAGAAGTAAAGATTTCTGCCCTTTGAGACTATTTCCTAATTTATGACTTCATGTCCAAGTCTGTAAGACAAAAATAACCAGACTGTTGAAAGGCAACTCCATCCAGTGTATTTTTAAAAACCTGGCCCATAACCAATCTACCCAGATGCTTCCCAGCTGAATCAATCCAGATGGTTCTTTGAAACAGCCAAACTGCGCATTTCAGATGTGCCACAAATTTGGATATTGGAGATCTCAGGCTCGTCACTAAATAGGAAATCTGTGATGCCAATTACAGAAGCTCTGAGACCATGGGAATTAAGAGGGTAGGGGTAAAATGTCAAGTGATGAGCAGGTGTAATTTTTAACGGAAAAGCAATTCCCCAGCCTTCAATTGAGTTCAGGTATTCAACACAGTTTCTTCATTAACATTGTTCCATTTTTATAAAAAATATTGAAATTTTATACTGTCTAAAGAAAAATCTCAGAATACATGCTTTCGCTGTTCTTATTTAAGAAGTAACTTCCCAGTGGAAAGAAGATAATGTATAAAACACTTGGTTGTCTTAACAGCCTGTACAAAATAGTTGGGTGTATAGTCAAAAGTTTGCTTTCTTTAGCATAGCTAGACTAGTAAGGCTAAATGATAACTGTTCTAAACATTTGTTCTCAAAAAAGTCTCACATAAAATAATTTTCTCAACTATCAAATATAGAAAACATTTATCCATATCAGATAGACCATATTTCATTGCATAGTTACGTAATGCAGGCTTGCAGACAGCTGTGTAACTAGAATTCATCCTAAGACAGGCACGTCCTTCCCTTTCAGATCATCAATACATATAGCCTATTGATAATCAAATCTTAGTGTCTTTGAAAAATTCCCCAATAAGTGAGTTTAAACACTGGAAGTCTAAGAAATGGGGACAATAAAATATATGGGCAGAAGGCTGAGAAATTTAGTAGAGATCAGATTAAGCACTGGACTCAAGTTCTAGTTGGTTTCCATGGTGAGAGAAGGACAAAACAGGTTTTAAATAATCCATAGGTGCCTTCAGATGCCAAGTGAAGATGCCCAGTGATGGGCCATAGGCACTCTGCTTGATCTCTTCTCTTGGTAGAAGTTCTATTTCCATAGAGGGAAGAACAATGCTAGAGACAAAACAACTCAGGTCACAAAAACTCCCTGAGAAAATTATACAGAACTGGGTTCATATACTGACTGTATCAATTATTAGCTCTAGGACTTTGGATATGGCCCTTCACTTCTCTAAGTTTCCATTTTCTCATCTGTAAAAGTGTTGGTTTTGGAAATTAAGAGGCTGATATAAATACTTTAAAGTATACAGTGTTTGATATCAAATAAGTCTCATTAATGTTAGCTGTTTTTTATTATAGTCTAAGGAAATAAACAGCATAGATAAACCAAAAAATAAATCATGCGGTGGCTCACACCTGTAATCTCAGGACTTTGGGAGGCCGAGGCAAATAGATTGCTTGAGCCCAGGAGTTCGAGACTAGCTTGGGCAGCATGGCAAAACCCCATCTCTGCAAAAAATTAGCTGGGCATGGTGGTGTGCACCTGTAGCCCCAGATACTCATGAGGCTTAAGTGGGAGGATTGCTTGAGCCCAGGAATTGGAGGTTACAGTGAGCCAAGATCATGCCACTGCACTCCAGCCTGGGCAACAGAGTGAGACCCTATCTCAAAAAAATATTAAGAAAAACATTCAAACTAATATTATGGATTTTTCAATTGCATAACAGCACTATTTCTGAAAATGCTATAGTTCCTTCAAATACTGTAGGGAATAGAATCGCATGGAAAAGCCACGTAGTGCTAGAAAGCATATAGCTCTCTCAATACTTACAGTCTGAAATTTTCTTAGTAGCTATTAATATTATTTTATCACTGGGCCAAATTTGTTGACAAACAATTGTCTTAACATTCCAGGGGGCCTACAGAGATAAGATGATTAAATCTACTGTGGATTCATTCTTAGCTCCCTAATTTGCAAATTTAATAACTTTTGGTTGAATACCACCAACTTTAGGCTGGTAGTGCAAAGATGGTGCAACTATAAACAGCTTCTGCCGTGAGACACAGTTCAATCGTGTCAACTAGAGCTGTTCTTGTTTAACCCATAACTATTTGAATTCTAAATTCTGTATTTTCCTTTGCATGTGTGGAATCTCTCTTACATGGAATTGAATATATGTAACATGTTTTTTCTTTTCCTTTATCTTAGCTCTATTCCTTGGACTAGTCCTTCATTCATAGGTCAATTAAGTTTTTAATAAACCACACATACCGAAAACAATAGGAAAACTCTTACAAGGCAATATTTGTAACATGTTACGGTTCTAATAGCACATACACTTATATAATGCCCCATTTACCAATGGGGGATCTGAGGTCCAGAAAAGACCAGGTTACATAGGAGCAGGGGAAGGGAATTATTATTCAGGTCCTGGTGTTCTGACTCTATGGCGTTTTTTTCTATTTCACCATTCTGCCCAAATATTATGACCTGAGGAATTAGGATGGGGAGAATCAGGGAAAAGTACTGAGCAAAAACAAGTCTCAAAGGCAGTGATAAACAAGAAATGGGCCAGGAGTGGTCATGAGGGTATTTTCAACCAGGTACAGCCACACATATCCTAGTTTATGGATTAAAAACTCAGGCCTTGAATTTTGAGGCGGAAAAGCGTAAGTCTGTCATTTGGCTCTTTCATCCTTACGATGGTAATGTTATTTTCTAGCACAGAATGCTTTTCTGCATGGTGGGTGGGCTGGCCACAGTGCCTAATTTAATCTTCCACTGAATATATTTCCTCAAATATAGTATCTTTGTTGACAGTTATTAAATGCCTGGTTGACTACAGACATCAAAGAATTGAGGAACACACATTAGGTGCTGCAGATTCATTTAGCAATCAAAGAGAACTGCTGGATAAATAACGACCAGAGTAGATTTATTTTCAGGATGAATGGCCAGTTGCTATGTGAATTGCAATTCCTGCATATGTCCTCTTCATCAGCTTGCCAGAACACTCCAGAGGCACTCGTTTGAGGCCTTTCAGAGATTGGTTTTTAAATTCTTACTGCTGCTTAACCAACAGTTCTTTCAGATGCCAAAATGAATTTTCCTCGCTCACATCATTCCTCCACTATACGTTTAGTTTTTTTCACTATCTTAGCTGGCGTGGCATCTGTTACTTGAGAAATTCCTAAAAAGGGGGATTTTTCAATCCTCTCGCCTCTTCTTTCCCAATCTCTAGGGCGACCAGGCAAGTTCGCATGGAACCACACTCTTTGCTCTGCGGCTGTTCTTCTAAGCTGAAGTGTGCCTGGGAGTTTCACATTCCCAAGTCTCTACCTCCTCATTCTTTGTGTAGGCCTTCCACTGGTCAGTATTTTAGGGAAGATTGAGTCATACTGGTGACACAAGTGAATTTCATCTTATACCATCTTAATCCTAAACAATGATCCATATCTAGTAGAGGAGAAAACACAAATGCCTGCAGGCGCATGAAATGTAGCAAAAAAAAAAAAAAAAAAAAAAGAATCTGAGACTGGTGAGGCCAGTGGTGAAGAGGGGAGGACATACCTTGTCTAATGGCATTCTCATTGCTCATCATTATCAAGACTTTTTTTTTTTTTTTGAAGGACAACTCTTTCAAGCCAAATTTAAAACACCGGTGGGGCAGATTGGATCTTGGTCTCCCATTTGTAACTTCTTATTTACTTCTTTGTAATTTTCAAAGCAGTATCACAGTATGTGCATTTGATTCCCAGGGCAACTTAAAGAGAGATGGTAATGATTAGTTCTTATGCAAATGAGAGAACACAGCTTAGAGACTTAAAGGAGACCAGGGAAGAGTTAGGGCTCAAACCCAAGCCTTTTCTCTGCAACCCCAGAGAAAAGGAGTTGCACTCTTCATTACACTATGCCTATTTTTCCTCCTCTCTACTCCAGCTTTTCTGTCTAGGTAATCAGGGCCCCATTTATCTCCTAGTCATTCAGGGATACTATATTGATTCTAAGTCTGGGGTCTCAACAATTTCCATTTTTCCCTCAAGAACTTTTATGCCTGCTGTGACATTTTAGAATGCCTGTTAATGTGTTTGCCTATCAGTGAGTAATTCTAGGTGAGTAATCAGATAGGCTAAGAGTTTTAGGCATCACAATGCTGGAGTTCCTGTGTCAACTGTTTTTGAGAGAATTAACAGGAGTTGGTATTTTTTTCACTGAACAAACATTATTAGCATACTTAACATCATCTGATAGTTTTCTAAAAAGGGAGTTTAATTTCCCTTTCGCTTAGAAACTGCAAATAATAATAAGTGCAGAGTACAAACTTTGTGGGCCAGAAAATTTTGGTTCAAACTATAGAACCACCACTCTCAAGCAATGTGACTTTGGCAGCAAATCCTTTCAACTGCTTACACCGAAGTTTCCTCATCCATAAAATGGATAGTAATACTAGCTAACTGAATGTTCTAAGAACAAAATGCGATAATGCATGTAAAGCATTTGATACAAATACAATAAGGTCTTTGGTAGATTTAATAACATAACCCAGGCAGAATGTGCAAGAGATATTTCAAGACCAAGTCCATCAGATTACAAAGAATGCCATCTTTCCTTTTTCCATTGTTTTCTCTCAAGCCAAGCTCTGAGTCAATTAGAGACAGAAGCACTCTCCTGCCCACCATGGTCTACAAGTAGCCCCCATATAACTCATTGTTTGCTCTCTGACCCTGGTAATATAAATTTGACCCCAGATGGTATGAATATACAATTGTGTATAAGAAAGAAGCAGATTACATTTGTCTGACACTTATCTCTGTACTATAGCCAATTTTCTAATTGATGTGATGCTTTTTTAAAAGTAAATCATAGTCTCTTTTTACTTAAGCATGTTCAAACTTGTTGCAAAAAGCAAAATATTCCTCCTAGTATGGAGTGAAAAAGCAGTCTGTAAACACAGATCTTCCAACGTTCAAAAGGAAAGAAAGGGTGTGACTGAATTGCAAAATTATAAGGAACGTTAGGGAAATGTAAGCCAGAACTGTGAGGGGAACAGCTGAGAAGGGAAAGGGTGGGAGGAGTATTGATATAAGTGAAGTCAATTTTCAACAGAATAATAACAAATAAGATGGTTTAATAAGAATAAGAAATCATCCAGATAATGGCATGTTGGTATGTGACCTCCTCTGGTAGTAAAGGAATACATTAAATCAATCAGTTAACAAACAAATAAGTGCAAGCACATGACTCCAGGCATAGGTAATGGTTTACTGGATAGCTGTGGACAAGGTCATTATTCCTACTGTGAGTAAAGTCAATAAAATCACTACTGAATGGCTGCTTGGCTGCAATGTAATAGGCAGACCCACTCAGGGCAGATTCTGAAGGATCTGTTTTACAGCACCTCCTTCCAACTCAACTCCCATCTAAAAAACCTCTCTTAGATTTCAGTGAGCCAGATACATGGGTAGAAGTGTGCTTCAGAATCCTCCCTGAAGGGAGATTCCATCACACAATACTTCCCTTCAAGCCACTGCTTGAATAAGATCATCTTGCCATTGCTTCTCAGACGGTCATTGTTCAAGGCACCCAGCAGTACTATTTTTGTTTTTTTCCTTGTTCCTGAGTTTTTGCCAGAACAATGCAAATGGAGTTATATGTCCCCTGCCATGGCATGGTATTTGCCACTTGGAAGGTGAGGTGGGCTCCCAGCTTGGTTGACCTATTACTTCTATCCCTAGTTACAAAGTCCTTGTCACTCAGATCTGAGATTGAGACATAACTGTCACTTTACTATTTGGCAAAATATTTTACTTTTCCAAGCCTATTTCATGACCTACAATGAGGATAAGGTTGTTCTAGTCCCAAAGGTTAGGAAAGTTAACATTTATACAATTCTTAGCATTGGTTAGCATACTTTGAGTGCTGAACCTGTTGTCAATTTACTTCAAATTTAATCATGAAAAATCTCATAGAAGTTAATTGTGACACTTAAAGGTATATTATTTCATTTGAGAAGAAAAAATCTGTTAGGTTTATTTTGAGGAATTACTTAGAATGGATGCATTTTGAGAGGAATATAGTGATCAAGAAAAATAATGAAGCCATTGACCTTAAATATACTCTTGGACTGATAGACTAATGACTAATTTTTTTTTTAACTTTTACAATTAGAAAACTAGAAGGTTAGATAATTTTTAAAGGCTGTGTCACCACAAATTTATCTCTAAATCCCAGAGTAAGAAACTGTATCAAAGATTCTTAATATGCTCAGCAAAGACATCTTTAAGAGGACTCTAGTCTAATTCAATCCCAGTGCTTGAATTTTTCCACATTAACTCTTTCTGCTTTTATATCTTAGATGGTAGGGGACTTGCTATCTCCTCAAGACTCTTAATTCTCTTCTGAACTTGAATGTCTTCAACTACTCTATTTAAACACACTATATGAAAGACATTTCTGACTCCCTGCAACTTCCAGAAATTTAATTCTTGTTGTCACAATGTACATAACAAGTCTTTCCTTAACAAGACAGTCCCTTCATTTGATTCAAAGAGGGTATCACAGACCTTAGAATCTTTTCTTTCTAGTTAAATAACCTTCGGTTGTTCAATTATACTCCATGGCTGATAGTTTTAAAATCTTTTTTTTTCCTCTTGGTAATATTCCTCTCAAAACACTAACTTGGTGGTATGGTGTCCTTCTTAATGAATAGCACCCAGAAACATTCCACATGCTTATAATCTGAATTCTACATCTCATGTTCTCATAATCACAATTGCATGTCAAATTGTTTCAACCTTTATTCCACATAAGCTCCTGCCAGGCCACATTGCCTAGGTCCACTATGTGTATTTCCTATGTGTATATTTGTTTAAATCTTATATTTAAGACATACACACAAACTAATATGTCAGTTAGTCTGGAGATAATTTTCATCTGTTTTTTTTCCCCAAGAAGAATACTTGCTCATCTTGATAGATAATATTTTTGCACTGTGAAAAGAGGTTAGGTTCTGTCCCATTAGGCAAGGTATTTAAATTCGCTTAAACTCTCAGCTCTTAGGTAAAATGGGCATAATACTAAGACGTGAAGATTTAAAGAGTTATAAAATAATGATGGTACATGGTGACTTCCAGAGAATCAGAATTTGCAACCCCTCAAGTAAATCAGATTTTCTTTTTTCATAAGCTACACGTCTCAGAAGCACTTTGTGTCTACTTATATTACATTCCTAGAAGGAAACTGGTTACCAACCTCTACAAAATAACCTTAGTCTTATACTTCAAGCCTTCATCATCCTGCAGAGGTTAAATTAACAGTTGCTTTGACATTCATTCTTTGACCTCACAGTTTTCAGGGCACATGAACCTCCAAGAGAAAGGAAATAGGTAGGAGTCATCGGAAATTTTATCTTTGGTCTTTTTAGGCAATGTAATTCTTTTTATTTTTCTTAAAATTTAGGGAGGATTTTAAAAAGTTATCAGATAGAAATAGAGCCATCTCTTTAATTGTAGAAAATTGTAGTTCATCTACATATAAACTATTTTAAGTGAAGAGATTGCTTTCTGGAAATGAATAGTCCTGATGTGGATTGAAATTTAGGAGTTTGCATTTTAGCTTTGCTATGCAATTAGGCAGTATAATTGTCTACTGTAGCTAAAATTCTATATTTTATATTGTTTTGCTTCAGATTGCTGGACCAGTTCATGATTCCTTATGCGAAATGAGGTTTCACATATGTTATAATGACAAATTATGATTTTTGTATGTTTACAATACTTAATTTTATAAATTATTTTTTATCGACAAATTAAAACTGTATTTATGGTATACAACATGTTTTGATATACGTATATACTGTGGAAAGGCCAGATCCATCTAATTAACATATGCATTACCTCACATATTTGTCATTTATTTTGGTATTAAGAATTCTTAAAATCTACTCTTTTAGCAATTTCCAAGTATGTAATGTATTGTCAGTAATTGTAGTCACCCTGATGCACAATAGATCTCTTAAACTTATTCCTCCTGTCTAACTGAAATTTTGTATCCTTGACCAATATTTTCCCAATCTTTAAACCCCAATACCATGTATTTTAATAATGTTTACTTACCCTTTGGAAGTGAAGATATATTTTTCTATTTTATACCTGAGCAAACTGAGGCTACTCTAATTTTATAAACTAGGATGGAAGCTATCATTTCTTCTTCTAAGGGAGAAACACAGTAACAATAATGACTATTAAATAAATGAAATAGTAATTAAAACAGTATGACCTTATTATAATGCAAGGATGACAGAAGTATTTAAATGCTAAGAGGACATTTGCCTTGGGGAGTAAGGACTGGTTGCTGTGAACCCTTCTGTCCCCATCCGTAATAAATATAACAACAATTCTATAAAAGGGGTTTAAAAAAGTTATTTGTGGTATGAAACTGAGCAGACAGACATTTGGATTTGCATTGTACCATGATTAAACTCCTTTCTCTTAGCTGAAATCACATGTTCCCTTCTCCTCTTTACTAGGCTAGGATTTCTTCAATCTCTTGCTTCATGAATGGCCCTCAGACAAATTAAAAGCCCGGGAGAATTGCCATATGGATATTTCTAACATAACATGACAAGTTTCATAGGAGATCTACCCTGAAGGCCATCAACATGAGTTGCCCAGGAAAAGATTTCAAACACTCTGAAGGCAAAAAAGAAACAGTGACCACAGGTGGCATGCCAACCTTTTAAGAGTTGTGGTTATTTAAACTGGGAGAGGGTTCTGGGCAAGGGATACCTCATTTGGTAGTCGTCAACATATACGTGGTAGTGGTATTTATGTACTACAAATAGATTAGATTAGCAGAATGGCTATTGATAGAGAAGCAAAGAGGACCAAGGATTGAGGCTTGGTTTATTCCCATGTTTAGAATCTGGGGAGAAGGGGAGGAAGCAGCACAGGGAGTTAAGTTGGAAGAGGTAGAAGCTGAACCAGAACAATTGAGGTATCCTGGAAGCCAAGTGAAAAAAATATTTCAGGCTGGGTGCGGGTGGCTCACACCTATAATCCCAGCACTTTGGGAGGCTGAGGCAGGTGGATCACTTGAGGTCAGGAGTTGGAGATCAGCCTGACCAACATGGTGAAACCCCATCTCTACTAAAAATACAGAAATTAGCCAGGTGGAGGTTGCAGTGAGCCAAGATCATGCCTGCACTCTAGCCTGGGTGACAGACTGAGACTCTGTCTCAAAAACAAAAAAGTTTCAAGGAGGATCTGCTTGTTCCAAATGTTACTGATGGGTCAAATGGGATGAAAAAGGAGAATGAAATACTGGGGTTAACAATGTGTGTAGAGCAATAGTGATATTAAAAAGAAAAAATTTGTTACAAGGGATAGGTGAAAGTCTAATTGGAGTGAGTTAAAGAAAATTGGAGGAGAGGCTTTGGAGAGAGTACCACAGAAAGTCTTTTTAGGAATTATACTGTTAAGGGGAACAGAGAAATGGGGCTGCAGCTAGAGAGAAAAGTAGGTTAAAATGAGTTTTGTTATTTTCATTTTGTGTCTTAAAATGAAAAAAATTTCATATTTATGATCTGAATGGAAAAGTCCAGTAGAGGTAAGAAATTGATGAGAGAATGTATAAAACTGAAATGACCCTGAGAAGGTGAGAAGTGATGGCATGTGGTGCACCAGTATAAGGATTGACCAGGTGGGAATTTAGAGTGTGCATGGGAATTCTTACATTGCTTCACTCTGGAGCACAGTGGCCTGAGTTTGCCTGCTGCCTTTGCCACTCTTAATGCTAATTTCATTAGGTTTTAGGGAGATTAAATAAATCTACATATACAAAGTATGTAGAACTGTGCCTGGCCCATAGAAAATGCTTAATAATTAGTAGTTGCTTTTATTCTTCCATCATTTGATGAAAAGTCACATCTTCCAATAACAAAATAGGATGTATTATCAGATTTAGTCTATTCCAGGCTAGCACTATCTGTCTCTGCTTCTTTTGAACTCTGCCTAGCAGAAGAGTGAAGATATTCCAAGTCACTCTCCTGGGAGAAGCTAAACGTGGCAAAAGGATGATGCATATAGTCTATTATTCCTACTTGTTTTTTACATGGACTTATTCTAGTAACATTTAATTTTCAATAGCTCTTTAAGATAGATACAATTATTGTCCACCTTTGTTAGGTAAGTGATCTGGAAGTCAGAAAGGTTAAATACTTTGCCCGAGGTGACAGTATTAAAGTTGGCTGTGAACCCAAGAAGTCTGACTTCACTGCCCTTCTAATTAGTCTACAGGTAAGTATTCATAATTTGTATTATACCTTTTTGGTCCAAAGCATTCTTACCTAAATATTACTGTAGTTAGCTAAGGATACTGAGAAATACATTAAATTAACCATGTCATATCTTTAGCAAAGAAAAGAGTGCACATTAGTCAGTATCAAGTGGAACAGAAGCTTAAGGAGGCTATTAGGAAGGAATTAAAATAGTGAGTCATGAAACTTTTTCCAAAAGGATCCTATGCCAAAAAAAAGAATTGTGGAATTACCAGGCTATAGCTCAGCATGGTGAACAAGATTCTCTTCCAGAAAGGTCTGAGGATTAATCAGTTAATCATTTGGTGACATTTAATCAAGAGTCAGAAATCCAATCAATGGCCAACCTATTGCAACACTGGGGGTACTGGTTTGGCTTCTTGCCTGGATTGTCCAATGTTAATTAGCAATTATCTCAGCTGGATGACCCCTTGCTCCTGGGAAATTTCAAAAAGAAAAAACTATTTCTAAGTGGAAATTTCACCTTTTGCCTTCATCAGTTGTTATTAGTCAGTATGTTTATTCAGTTTCCAATGTCACATGGACCCATTTGACAAAAAGATCTGGGATTAGCCCAACAGTTACTTTAATGAGAAGAAAAAATGGAGCTGTCCTGAAGGCAGATGAAAGATTCTCTTTATTTTCATCTCGTTTTATAACTTTCTTCCTTTCTGTCACTCCAAAAACTGGCCTTATTTTATTAATTTAAGTTCCTTCTGGACTCAATAAAAGAAACCCAGCCCAGAGTCAAGAATGATTTTTGCTTCAACTCAAAACTCAGTTTTGAATTTTTTTTTTTCAGAATAAAGCCTTACTCAGATTCCTTCAATGATATTTTCTTTTGACTTCCACTTCGGAAGGTCTTAGATTCAAATCATGACTTTCCCTCTATGTGTCCACAGGCAAATGACTAAATTCTTTGAGTCTGTTTCAGAGGGGAGGGTCAGGAAAAGCATTTGTGTAGAGGTGTCATGTTAGCTAGGAGCAAAGTGAGCACACACAATGATTATCAAGATTGAGGACATTCCTGGAAAAGTGCTTTGTATCTTGTGGCTGGAACAAAATGAACCACACAAAGAGTGGTATATGCTGAGGCCAGAGACAGACACGGGCTGACCACACAGGACCTTGTAGATAGGGTGAGGTGTAAGAGGATTTTACCCAAAATGCAAGTGGAATCTATGGGAGAGTTTTAAGCACTGGAAGGATATGATCTAATTTACGTTACAAAAAATTCTCTTTAGTTTCTGTGTAGAAGACCAACAGGAGAAAATGTAAATAGAGTATGTAGCCCAATGTCTGGCTTATAGTATTTGAGAAATGTTAGCTATTGTCATTATTATTATTGTACTCAGTGAGGGGCACACTCCCTAGGATGGCATGTCAGAATCTTCCCTGAGAGGGGGCTGCATCTCAAACTAGGAATCCCTTAACCCCTAAAGCATGTAGTCAAGTTCTATAGGAAGAGGTGCTCTTACCAGGGTCCCCTCCACTTTCTCCATTTTCCTGTGGAGTATCATCAATGGCATGGTGTGTGTTGTCCATCTCAAGTGTGATGAAGGTGAACATAATGTTGAGAACCTTCATGGTTGTATCTAATCTCCCTCTGCAGAATTATGCTGCCACTGGGATTATATCAAACTCAAACTGGTCTGCAGTTCATTAGAGAACCCATTTCTACACCAAATGGAGGAACATAATATTTGCAGATAAGCACATTTCAAGGAACTCATTAGAACTCCAATTTTAAAAGCTGCAGCAGTGAAAGCAAGTCAATTTTTATAACATGTATTTATTTGCTGCTGTTAATAATACCAACAAGTGGCCTTGGATGACACTGAAAACATGGAATGACATCTTGCAAAACTTCATCTCATTTGACCTTTACAATAATCTGGTAAATTAGGTAAAGTTGGTATGGTGACTTCCACAGGGACAAGGATTGTGTGACATGCCCAACCCCACCAAGAGCTCCAACTGTGACCCCTAGTTGTAAATCACTGTAATACTCTTTTCATCATCCTAAATGACTGCTGCCACCACTTGTCTAGTGTTATGGAGAATAGGAGCATTTTAAAGTGCCATATAGAATGGGGATTTCTAAAATGTCATAGTAAAAAGCATGCCAGTGTTAATTTAGTATTCTAAAAAGAGAGCAATTCTGAATGGGCACTCTTAAACAGAAAATGTATGCGTTCGAACATTTTGCAGGGGAAGACTAGATTTCACTTGGAAACCTAATCTGTTTGGAATCAACTATATCTCTCAGGCACATGAAAAACCTGCTAGGTTTTGGAGAATAAACTGCCTAGGTGTAGTTTTGTTTTTAACCTATGATTTTCATGAACCTTCTTAATAAAGATTCTAAAATAAAAGCGGAGCTAACAGTCTGAGGAAATTCTAGGATTTGCAATGGGATTCCTACTTTTAAAATGAACCACTTTTTTGTTTTCATTTTGTGAAGTGTTTATTAAATGATAACATCCATAGAGGACGGTCCACACATTTTGAGTCTAACTATTTGACTAATTTTTACCAAGTGAATATGCCTGTGTAATCACCACCCAGATTGAGAAACACATCACCAGCATCCCAGAAACTTTCCCTCCCAGTTAATACCCTCTTATCCAGGAAACCACTATTTTGATTCTCTTATCCTAAGTTAATTTTCATTCTCTTAAATTAGTGGATATGATTTGATATCACATTTGGTGGGGCTTTCTTTAATGCTTTCCTTGAGGCATAATTATTTACATAACATAAAATTTAACCATAAGTATACACTTAATCATTTATAGACAACTTAGAGTTGTGCAACCATCACCATAATCAAGTTTCTGATCACCTAAAAATTTCACCCTGCCTGTTTACAGCTAATGTCTACTCCCATTCCCATCTCCCACCCGAGACAACCACTAATCTGTGTTCTGTTTGTATATATTTGCCTTCTGTGGAAATTTTACAAATTGCAAGCACACAATATGTGCTCTCTTGTGTCTAGCTTCCCCCACTTAGCATAACGTTTTTGAGGTTTATCCATGTTTAATTAATAGTCACCACCTGCATTTTCTGGAAATACCACTGCACCCTTAATAGTCTCATAAAATCAAGTCCTGCAAAGGGGAAGATATAAATATTGAAAGAGGGTTTTGAATGACAGAGGTTTGTGAATCAGTAGTTTGTTTCTTCTTATGGATGAATAACATGCCAATGTGTGACTTTTGTTCATCAGTTCTCACACATTTTGGTTGCTTCTACTTTTTGGTTATTATGAATAGGGCCACAATGAATATACAAGTCTTTGTGGAGATATGTGTTCACTTACTTACCTTGGTAAGATACCTAGGAGTGCAATTGCTGGGCCATACGGTAAGTATGTCCTTAACATTTTAAAGAACTTCCAATCTGTTTATAACAGTGGTTGTACCTTTACATTCTCATACTAGCAATGTATGAAGCTTCTAGTTTCTTCACATTCTTACCAATATTTCATATTAGTTTCGTTGATTCTAGCCATACTAATAAGCATGTAGTGCTATCGCATTGTGGTTTCATTTGTATTCGCCTAAGACTAATACTATTGAGCATCTTGTGTTTATTAGCCATTTGTATATTTTCATTAATAAAATTTCTACTTTAAACTTTTGCCCATTTAAAAACCTTGAGTTACATGTGTTCTTTATATATTTGGACCACAAGTCATTTATCAGATATATTGTGATACAATCTGATTTATCTTTTTCTTTCATGGCTGTGCTTTTGGTGTCATATTTAAGAAATCTTTACCTAATCCAAGGTCACAAAGATTTTCTCCTTTTTTTTTCCCATAAGTTTTGTATTTGTAACTGTTATATTTAGACATATGATGCTGTTTGAATTAACTCTTATGTATAATATAAATTAAAGGTCTCTGTTCCTTACATGTACATTTGCTAAAAAGACTAATTTGAATTGTATTGACATGAACATAAATATCAGGATTTATTTCTTGGGTATTTTTCCAGTTCTTTTGATCTATATGTTTATCTTTATTTCAATACTTTACTATCTTGACTACTGTAGCCTTCTAGTAAGTTTTGAAATCAGATAGTGTTAGACATTCAATTTATTCTTTTTTTCCACAAAAATTATTGTTTTGACTATTCTAGGTCTTTTGCCTTTCCAGATATCTATTAGACTCTACTTATTAAACGAATAACAACCTCCTTGGATTTTGATAGGAATTTCATTGAACCTATAGATGAACTGCCATATTAAAAATATTCTGTCTTCTAACAAACACATGAACATGGTGTGTCTCTCTACTTGTTTAGATCCTGAATTTTGGTTGGCAATGTTTTATAGTTTTCAGTGTATAGACCTTGTTTTTTTTTTATTTTTTTATTTTTTATTTATTATTATTTTTTATTATACTTTAAGTTTTAGGGTACATGTGCACATTGTGCAGGTTAGTTACATATGTATACATGTGCCATGCTGGTGTGCTGCACCCACTAACTCGTCATCTAGCATTAGGTATATCTCCCAAAGCTATCCCTCCCCCCTCCCCCCCACCCCACAACAGTCCCCAGAGTGTGATGTTCCCCTTCCTGTGTCCATGTGATCTCATCGTTCAATTCTCACCTATGAGTGAGAATATGCGGTGTTTGGTTTTTTGTTCTTGCGATAGTTTACTGAGAATGATGATTTCCAATTTCATCCATGTCCCTACAAAGGACATGAACTCATCATTTTTTACGGCTGCATAATATTCCATGGTGTATATGTGCCACATTTTCTTAATCCAGTCTATCATTGTTGGACATTTGGGTTGGTTCCAAGTCTTTGCTATTGTGAATAATGCCGCAATAAACATACGTGTGCATGTGTCTTTATAGCAGCATGATTTATAGTCCTTTGGGTATATACCCAGTAATGGAATGGCTGGGTCAAATGGTATTTCCAGTTCTAGATCCCTGAGGAATCGCCACACTGACTTCCACAATGGTTGAACTAGTTTACAGTCCCACCAACAGTGTAAAAGTGTTCCTATTTATTTCTCCACATCCTCTCCAGCACCTGTTGTTTCCTGACTTTTTAATGATTGCCATTCTAACTGGTGTGAGATGGTATCTCATTGTGGTTTTGATTTGCATTTCTCTGATGGCCAGTGATGATGAGCATTTGTTCATGTGTTTTTTGGCTGCATAAATGTCTTCTTTTGAGAAGTGTCTGTTCATATCCTTTGCCCACTTTTTGATGGGGTTGTTTGTTTTTTTCTTGTAAATTTGTTTGAGTTCATTGTAGATTCTGGATATTAGCCCTTTGTCAGATGAGTAGGTTGCGAAAATTTTCTCCCATTTTGTAGGTTGCCTGTTCACTCTGATGGTAGTTTCTTTTGCTGTGCAGAAGCTCTTTAGTTTAATTAGATCCCATTTGTCAATTTTGGCTTTTGTTGCCATTGCTTTTGGTGTTTTAGACATGAAGTCCTTGCCCATGCCTATGTCCTGAATGGTAATGCCTAGGTTTTCTTCTAGGGTTTTTATGGTTTTAGGTCTAACGTTTAAGTCTTTAATCCATCTTGAATTGATTTTTGTATAACGTGTAAGGAAGGGATCCAGTTTCAGCTTTCTACATATGGCTAGCCAGTTTTCCCAGCACCATTTATTAAATAGGGAATCCTTTCCCCATTGCTTGTTTTTCTCAGGTTTCTCAAAGATCAGATAGTTGTAGATATGTGGCATTATTTCTGAGGGCTCTGTTCTGTTCCATTGATCTATATCTCTGTTTTGGTACCAGTACCATGCTGTTTTGGTTACTGTAGCCTTGTAGTATAGTTTGACATCAGGTAGTGTGATGCCTTCAGCTTTGTTCTTTTGGCTTAGGATTGACTTGGCGATGTGGGCTCTTTTTTGGTTCCATATGAATTTTAAAGTAGTTTTTTCCAATTCTGTGAAGAAAGGCATTGGTAGCTTGATGGGGATGTTATTGAATCTGTAAATTACCTTGGGCAGTATGGCCATTTTCACGATATTGATTCTTCCTACCCATGAGCATGGAATGCTCTTCCATTTGTTTGTATCCTCTTTTATTTCCTTGAGCAGTGGTTTGTAGTTCTCCTTGAAGAGGTCCTTCACATCCCTTGTAAGTTGGATTCCTAGGTATTTTATTCTCTTTGAAGCAATTGTGAATGGGAGTTCACTCATGATTTGGCTCTCTGTTTGTCTGTTGTTGGTCTATAAGAATGCTTGTGATTTTTGTACATTGATTTTGTATCCTGAGACTTTGCTGAAGTTGCTTATCAGCTTAAGGAGATTTTGGGCTGAGACAATGGGGTTTTCTAGATATACAATCATGTCTTCTGCCAACAGGGACAATTTGACTTCCTCTTTTCCTAATTGAATACCTTTTATTTCCTTCTCCTGCCTAATTTCCCTGGCCAGAACTTCCAACACTATGTTGAATAGGAGTGGTAAGAGAGGGCATCCCTGTCTTGTGCCAGTTTTCAAAGGGAATGCTTCCAGTTTTTGCCCATTCAGTATGATATTGGCTGTGGGTCTGTCATAGATAGCTCTTATTATTTTGAAATATGTCCCATCAATCCCTAATTTATTGAGAGTTTTTAGCGTGAAGGGTTGTTGAATTTTTTCAAAGGCTTTTTCTGCATCTATTGAGATAATCATGTGGTTTTTGTCTTTGGCTCTGTTTATATGCTGGATTAGATTTATTGATTTGCGTATATTGAACCAGTCTTACATCCCAGGGATGAAGCCCACTTGATCATGGTGAATAAGCTTTTTGATGTGCTGCTGGGTTTGTTTTGCCAGTATTTTATTGAGGATTTTCGCATCAATGTTCATCAAGGATATTGGTCTAAAATTCTCTTTTTTTGTTGTGTCTCTGCCTGGTTTTGGTATCAGAATGATGCTGGCCTCATAAAAAGAGTTAGGGAGGATTCCCTCTTTTTCTATTGATTGGAATAGTTTCAGAAGGAATGGTACCAGTTCCTCCTTGTACCTCTGGTAGAATTCAGCTGTGAATCCATCTGGTCCTGGACTCTTTTTGGTTGGTAAGCTATTGATTATTGCTACAATTTCAGATCCTGTTATTGGTCTATTCAGAGATTCAACTTCTTCCTGGTTTAGTCTTGGGAGAGTGTATGTATCGAGGAATTTATCCATTTCTTCTAGATTTTCTAATTCATTTGCATAGAGGTGTTTATAGTATTCTCTGATGGTAGTTTGTATTTCTGTGGGATTGGTGGTGATATCCCCTTTATCATTTTTTATTGCATCTATTTGATTCTTCTCTCTTTTTTTATTAGTCTTGCTAGCGGTCTATCAATTTTGTTGATCCTTTCAAAAAACCAGCTCCTGGATTCATTAATTTTTTTGAAGGGTTTTTTGTGTCTCTGTTTCCTTCAGTTCTGCTCTGATTTTAGTTATTTCTTGCCTTCTGCTAGCTTTTGAATGTGTTTGCTCTTGCTTTTCTAGTTCTTTTAATTGTGATGTTAGGGTGTCAATTTTGGATCTTTCCTACTTTCTCTTGTGGGCATTTAGTGCTATAAATTTCCCTCTACACACTGCTTTGAATGCGTCCCAGAGATTCTGGTATGTTGTGTCTTTGTTCTCGTTGGTTTCAAAGAACATCTTTATTACTGCCTTCATTTCGTTATGTACCCAGTAGTCATTCAGGAGCAGGTTGTTCAGTTTCCATGTAGTTGAGAGGTTTTGAGTGAGATTCTTAATCCTGAGTTCTAGTTTGATTGCACTGTGGTCTGAGAGATAGTTTGTTATAATTTCTGTTCTTTTACATTTGCTGAAGAGAGCTTCACTTCCAAGTATGTGGTCAATTTTGGAATGGGTGTGGTGTGGTGCTGAAAAAAATGTATATTCTGTTGATTTGGGGTGGAGAGTTCTGTAGATGTCTATTAGGTCCACTTGGTGCAGAGCTGAGTTCAATTCCTGGGTATCCTTGTTGACTTTCTGTCTCGTTGATCTGTCTAATGTTGACAGTGGGGTGTTAAAGTTTCCCATTATTAATGTGTGGGAGTCTAAGTCTCTTTGTAGGTCACTCAGGACTTGCTTTATGAATCTGGGTGCTCCTGTATTGGGTGCATATATATTTAGGATAGTTAGCTCTTCTTGTTGAATTGATCCCTTTACCATTATGTAATGGCCTTCTTTGTCTCTTTTGATCTTTGTTGGTTTAAAGTCTGTTTTATCAGAGACTAGGATTGCAACCCCTGCCTTTTTTTGTTTTCCATTTGCTTGGTAGATCTTCCTCCATCCTTTTATTTTGAGCCTATGTGTGTCTCTGCACATGAGATGGGTTTCCTGAATACAGCACACTGTTGGGTCTTGACTCTTTATCCAATTTGCCAGTCTGTGTCTTTTAATTGGTGCATTTAGTCCATTTACATTTAAAGTTAATATTGTTATGTGTGAATTTGATCCTGTCATTATGATGTTAGGTGGTTATTTTGCTTGTTAGTTGATGCAGTTTCTTCCTAGTCTCAATGGTCTTTACATTTTGGCATGATTTTGCAGCACCTGGTACTGGTTGTTCCTTTCCATGTTTAGTGCTTCCTTCAGGAGCTCTTTTAGGGCAGGCCTGGTGGTGACAAAATCTCTCAGCATTTGCTTGTCTGTAAAGTATTTTATTTCTCCTTCACTTATGAAGCTTAGTTTGGGTGGATATGAAATTCTGGGTTGAAAATTCTTTTCTTTAAGAATGTTGAATATTGGCCCCCACTCTCTTCTGGCTTGTAGGGTTTCTGCCAAGAAATCCGCTGTTAGTCTGATGGGCTTCCCTTTGAGAGTAACCCGACCTTTCTCTCTGGCTGCCCTTAACATTTTTTCCTTCATTTCAACTTTGGTGAATCTGACAATTATGTGTCTTGGAGTTGCTCTTCTTGAGGAGTATCTTTGTGGCGTTCTCTGTATTTCCTGAATCTGAACGTTGGCCTGCCTTGCTAGATTGGGGAAGTTCTCCTGGATAATATCCTGCAGAGTGTTTTCCAACTTGTTTCCATTCTCCCCATCACTTTCAGGTACACCAATCAGACGTAGATTTGGTCTTTTCACATAGTCCCATATTTCTTGGAGGCTTTGCTCATTTCTTTTTATTCTTTTTTCTCTAAACTTCCCTTCTCGCTTCATTTCATTCATTTCATCTTCCATCACTGATACCCTTTCTTCCAGTTGATCGCATCGGCTCCTGAGGCTTCTGCATTCTTCACGTAGTTCTGGAGCCTTGGTTTTCAGCTCCATCAGCTCCTTTAAGCTGTATTGATTATTCCATTTATACATTCTTCTAAATTTTTTTCAAAGTTTTCAACTTCTTTGCCTTTGGTTTGAATGTCCTCCCATAGCTCAGAGTAATTTGATCGTCTGAAGCCTTCTTCTCTCAGCTCATCAAAGTCATTCTCCATCCAGCTTTGTTCCGTTGCTGGTGAGGAAGTGTGTTCCTCTGGAGGAGGAGAGGCACTCTGCTTTTTAGAGTTTCCAGTTTTTCTGTTCTGTTTTTTCCCCATCTCTGTGGTTTTATCTACTTTTGTTCTTTGATGATGGTGATGTACCGATGGGTTTTTGGTGTGGATGTCCTTTCTGTTTGTTAGTTTTCCTTCTAACAGACAGGACCCTCAGCTGCAGGTCTGTTGGAGTACCCTGCCGTGTGAGGTGTCAGTGTGCCCCTGCTGGGGGGTGTCTCCCAGTTAGGCTGCTCAGGGGTCAGGGACCCACTTGAGGAGGCAGTCTGCCCGTTCTCAGATCTCCAGCTTCGTGCTGGGAGAACCATTGCTCTCTTCAAAGCTGTCAGACAGGGACATTTAAGTCTGCAGAGGTTACTGCTGTCTTTTGTTTGTCTGTGCCCTGCCCCCAGAGGTGGAGCCTACAGAGTCAGGCAGGCCTCCTTGAGCTGTGGTGGGCTCCACCCAGTTGGAGCTTCCCGGCTGCTTTGTTTACCTAAGCAAGCCTGGGCAATGGTGGGCGCCCCTCCCCCAGCCTCGCTGCCTCCTTGCAGTTTGATCTCAGACTGCTGTGCTAGCAATCAGCGAGACTCCGTGGGCGTGGGCGTAGGACCCTCCCAGCCAGGTGCGGTCCGTCACCCCTTTCTTTGACTCGGAAAGGGAACTCCCTGACCCCTTGCGCTTCCCAAGTGAGGCAATGCCTTGCCCTGCTTCGGCATGCGCACGGTGCACGCACCCACTGACCTGCACCCACTGTCTGGCACTCCCTAGTGAGATGAACCCAGTACCTCAGATGGAAATGTAGAAATCACCGTCTTCTGCGTTGCTCACGCTGGGAGCTGTAGACTGGAGCTGTTCCTATTCGGCCATCTTGGCTCCTCCCCCAATACTGACCTTGTTTGTTAAACTCATTTTTTAGTTCCAGTTTTGTTTGTAGATTCTTTCAAATTTTTAAAATATAGTATTATATTTCTCTCATATTTCTCTCTAGAGAAAGGTATTTTCATGTTTTGCTTTTCAAAGTGTATGCCATCTATTTTTCCTTTGTCTATGGGCCTTATAACGTTGTATTTTTTTTTTCTGATTCAACTTGTAGGAATTCTTTATATATTTTAGTTAAGAGTTCTTCAGTGGCTATTTGTGTTATAAAATCTTTCATCCTGTGTCTTGCATTTTCATTATTTACTTAACTGCATCTTTTGATATACAGATATTTTCTATTAAAAATAGAATTTTATAGTAAGTTCTTCCATACAGCTAAAGAAAGAGCAAAACAAAGCACCAATCTTATACACATTCTTCCATGACATATAAAATAAATAAAAACTCCCCTACTTGCCTTCTGAGGTAAGCATAATAGAACTTGACAAGAGCATTACAAGAAACCAAAATTGCAGGTCAAGTTTTCTAACGAACATGGATACAATATTCCCAAACAAAATATTAAAATCTAATGACACATAAAATAATATAACCAAGATGGGTTTATTCCAGGAATGCAAGATTTATTTTACATTTGAAAGTCATTGCATTTCATTACATTAATGGAAGAAAGCAGAAAAATTTTATAAAATCAAGTGAACCTCAATATGATTAAAAAAAAAATACCTGCAGTGGCCATTATATTTAACAGTCCCATACTGAAAGCCTTTTTTTACCCCCAAGTGTAGGAACTACATGAAGATGTCTGACATTGTGACTTCCATACAGCATGTGCGAAAGCTTCTAGCCAGTGCAGTAGGAAAGAAGAATAACTGGCATAAGATTTGAAAAAATGAAGTAAAACTAGTAGTATTTGCAGATAACATGCTTATGTACATTGAGAATCTTCATGTATATACATTTAAAAGTAAATTTTAGAGAAAATAAGGCAAGATGTTGGAATAGGACTTTCTAGCATTCATTCCCCCACAGAAACTGAGGATGGAGAAATCAGTTTGCCCAATATCATAAAGCTATAAAATCATGAAGCTGGAATACAAACCTGATGAATTTGCATAGCTACAATAATAGAAGTACAATGTTTTCATTGAAGATTTCTAAGGTATAAAAGAACATATTAAATTCAGTGCCTAAAGAATGTACATTACTGAAAACACCCAGGAGGGGTTGCATGTGCCAATATCTATGGGAACTCAGATATATCCTCTAAACTTTTCAAATGCAGTAGTTCTCAAAGTGGTTATGACATTAATGTTCTCAAACAATTTGAAGATGGGCCTTAGATAATTTTTCCTCTAAGTACTGACATTTTTAAATGATTTAAACATTACAGCAGATGAGAGATTACAGCATCTGGTGTAGCACAGAAATAAGAGATACATTGAAGACGGTAGAAAGGACAGTTTCAAATTACCCATGTCACCTGTCCCCACAAGACCAGGCAGCACAGCATAGAGATAAATACCATTTACTGAAGGGAAGAACAGGAAAGTAAGCACTAGAATTTTCCTGGGACCCAATTAAAACCTTAGACTAGCACTAGGCAGGCCCCCATGGCCATAGACTTCAGGCTTGTACCTGTGGACAGAGCATCCTGGCCTGCTTCAGCACAGGCTGGATCCTGTAGCTACAGGCTTTCCTGACAGACCCAGTTACAAGGCCCTCCACACCCTGAGGCATGCAACAGCACTCCCTAGCCATCAGGCTGGCACTTGAGGACCCAGACTTCAGGCCCATTCCAAGTTCCAGATCACTTTGGTGGATCCACCCAGTACCAGAGTTGCTCTTGTAGATCTCCACTTTAGAAGACCTAGGGTCTAAGTTCATTCCAGTAGACCCCACTGCTGGCACAGCCCCAAAGAATCCAGGCTCCAGAACTGCCCCTGTGGACCCTGTTTCCTAGCTTTCAGGCCAGCATCTACAAACCAAACCTTTAGGCCAGTTTCTGTGGACTCAGACTTCATGACTTCCCTAGTAGCAGGGTCCAGGTTTCCTCCAATAAACCTTGGTTCCAGGCTGGCCCCTGTAGACTCAGGCTCAAGGCCTACCCCCACGCTTCTGTAGATCCAGGCTTCAGGCCAACCCCCATGGGTACAGTCTCTAGGTCCAATGACATAGATTCAGGTGCCAGACCTTCCTGCCTGCTGATGGACCACATCTGATAGTCTGTTCAGAATATCAGGACAGGGTGATTGGCATTGTCTGGGAAAGCCCTTCACCAGTCTGCAAGCACTACAATAAGTTCCTACTTCTTCAAACACACAAACATGAATATAAAGCAATGAGAAAACATTAAAAAACAAGGAGATATAATACCATCAAAAGAATACAATTTCCCAATAGCTAACTTCTAAAAATTGGAGACATACAAACTGCCTGACAAAGGACAGTCATGCACCACATAAGGACGTTTTGGTCAATGATGAAGCACATGTATGATAGTGCTCCCTTCAATTATAATGGAGCTGAAAAATTCCTATTGCCTAGTGATACTGTAACCATCATAACTTTGTAACACAATGCACTATATGTTTGTGGTGATGCTTGTGTAAATAAACCCACTGCCTTGCCAGTATATAAAAGTATTGCACATACGTATAGTACAAAATATTTGACAAAGATAATAAATATGTTATTGATAGAGGTATTCCGGAAGAAGGCATTGCTATCCTAGGAAGTGAAATCTCTATTCATGTTACTGCTCCCAAAGGCAGTCCAGTAGGACAAGATATGGAGGTAGAAGACAGTGATATTTATGATACTGACCTTGTATAAGCTTAGGCTAATGTATATGTCTGTTTTTAACAAAAACATTTAAAAAGTACAAAAAAAAAATAAACACATATAGAATGATGATTTAAAGAAAATATTTTTGTCCAACTGTACAAGGTGTTTGTGATAAACGTAAGTGTGAGTTAAAAAAATTTAAAATTTATGAAGTAGAAAGTTACAGTAAGCTGAAGAAAGAAAATTTAAAAAATAAATTTAGTGTAGCCTAACTGTACAATGTTTATGAAGTCTACAGTAGTATACAATAATGTCCTAGGCCTTCACCAATCACTGACTCACTCGGAGCCACTTCCAGTCCTGCAGTCCCCATTCACAGCAAGTGGCCTCTAGATTTTTAAAATAGCATACCACTTTAAAAATCTTTCATACCATATTTCTACCATACCTTGTCTGTGTTTAGATACACAAATACATACAATTGTGTTACAACTGCCTATGGTACAGTAACATGCTATAAAGGTTTTTAGCCTAGGAGCAATAGGCTATACCATCTAGGTTTGTATAAGTACACTCTGATGTTCACATAAATGACAAAATTGCATAACATCACATTTCTCAGAATGTAACCTGGTTGTTTTAAGGAAGTTCAGTAAGCATCAAATACAGGGAAAAAACTCAAGGAATAAGTGACCAAAATTAGAAACTTAACAGAGATCAAAGCACTTTAAAAAAATCAAACAAATCCTGGAACCAAAAACCATAAAATGAAATTTTAAAAGCAATAGAACATGTCAACATGCAATAGCGGATTGATGATACAGAAGAATCAGTAAACTCAAAGAAAATTATTTGAAAATATACAATTAGAGGAGAAAAAAGAGAAGAGAATGAAAAGAAATTAAGAAGGCTTTCTTCATTCTAAAAAGTTACGGATTTGTGGGGCAGCATAAAAAGAGCAAATATTCGTTATTGGAGTTTGTGTAGGAGAAGAGAAAGAGGGCAGAAAGCTTACTTAAAGAAATAATAGCAGAAAACTTTTCAAATATTGGGAAAGATATACCTATCCAGGGATAGGAACGTCAAATGTGTCCAAGAAGATTTAATCCAAACAAGACAACTCCAAGGCATATTTTATAATCAAACTAACAAAAATCAAAGATAAGTAGGGGATCTCAAAAGCAGCAAAAGATAAGCATATTAGATATAATGGAGTTCCAATAAGGCAAGCATATTTCTCAGCAGAAGCCTCACCATCGAGGAAACGATATGTTAAAAAATTGTAGAAAAACAAAGCAAAACAACACAACTATGATCAAGAATATTTTTTTCTGGCAAAGATGTCCTTCAAAAATGAAGGAGAGATAAAGACTCTCCCGGCCAAACAAAAGCTGAGAGAGTTCATTACCACCAGATCTGCCTTACAAGAAATGCTAAAGGAAATTCTTTAAGCTGAAGGAAAAGGATGGAAATCAATAAGAAAACATATGAAAACATATAACTCACTGGTAAAAGTAAGTACACTTTTTTTTTCCAGAATATGCCCACGGTGGTATGTGAATCACATATTTTTAGTATAAGGAAAAATACGAAAATACAAAAAATAGTATCTACAATAATTTAAAGGGAATGCACAATATAAAATGTATATTGTGACATTGAAAACATAAAATTTTGGGAGCAGGTGAAATAAAAGTGTAGAATTGTTTATGCAATCAAAGTTATTAGCTTAAAATAGCCAGTTATAATTATGTTTTATGTAAGCCTCATAGTAAATACAAACTAAAACCTCGTAGTAGGCGAGGCACAGTGGCTCATGGCTGTAATCCTGGCACTTTGGGAAGCTGAGGCAGGCAGATAACCTGAGGTCAGAAGTTTGAGACCAGCCTGGCCAACATAGTGAATACTAAAAATACAAAAATTTGTACTACAAATACAAAAATTAGCTGGGTGTGTTTCAATGTAAATAAATCTTCCAATCAAAAGACCAAGTGGCTGAATTGGGGGGAAAAATACACAACTACATGTTGCCTACAGTAGAAGCATTTCACTATTAAGGTTACAAATTGACAGTGAAGGGATAAAAAAAGATATGCCATGTAAGAAGAAAAAATGAGAGCAGAGATAGCTGCACTTATATAAGATAAAGTAGATTTTAAGTCAAAAACTGCAAAATGAGACAAAGAACATCATTTATATAAAGAGACTTATTAATCAAGAGGATATAACATTTGTAAATATATATGTACCTAACATTGGAACACCTAAATAGATAAAGCAAATATTAATGGATCAGAAGGGAGAAATAGAGTACACTGAAATTATGTAGGGGACTTTAATATCCCACTTTCAGCAATGAACAGATCATTCAAACTGACTTGAATTACACTTTAAACTAAATGGACCTCACAAGACGTATATAGAACATTCCATCTAACAGCAACAGAATATACATTTCTGTCAAGCACACATGGAACATTTTCTAGGGTAGACCACAAAACAAGCCTTAACAAATTCAAGAAGATTGGAATTATATCAGCTATCTTTTCTGATCACACGGTATGAAACTAGAAATCAATAACAGTTGAAAATTTAGAAAATTTACAAAAAACATAGAAATGAAACAACTTGCTACTGTAAAACCACTAAAAGGAATATCATAAAATACCTTGAAACAAATGAAAATGGGCATGCAACATGCCAAAACATGGGGTACAGCAAAGGCAGTTTAAGATGACAGTTTACAGTGATAAATGTGTACATCAAGAAAGACCTTAAGTAAATGACCCAATATTACACTTCAAGAAATTACAAAAAGAGCAAATTAAGTCCAAAAGTTAGCTTAAGGAAGAAAATAATAGAGATTAGAGACTAGAAAAATAATTTAAAAATCAACAAAACTAGGGATTTTTTAGAAAAATAAAATCTACAAATCTTTAGGTAGACTTCTAAAAAGACCCAAATGAAATCAGAAATGAAAGAAGAAATACCACCAACAAAGAGGATCATAAGAGACTCTAAGCAACAATAGATTTGATAACCTAAAAGTAATGGATAAATTCCTAGATACAAACAACTTACAAAGACTGAGTCATCAAGAAAATCCAAAGAGGTCAATAACGAAGAAAAACATTGATTCAGCGATGAAAAAGTATCACATCTAAGAAAAGCCCAGGACCTGATGTCTTTACTGATAAATTCTACCAAATATTTAAAGAAGAACTGGGCGTAGTGGCATGCACCTGTAGTCCCAGCTACTTGGGAGGCTGAGCCAAGAGGATCACTTGAGGCTAGGAGTCCAAGGCTGTAAGATGCTATGATTATGCCTGTCAATAGCCACGGTACTCCAGCCTGGGCAACAGAGTGAGAACCTATTTCTACAAAAATAAAAATAAAAGAATAAATAAATACTAATCTTTCTCAAATTCTTCAAAAAAATCTAAGAGGAAGCAATATTTCCCAACCCATTTCATGAGGCCAGCATTACCCTGATACCAAATCCACACAAGGACACTACAGGAAAAGAAAATTATAGGCCAATATCCCTGATACAGATACAAAATTTCACAACAAAATACTAAAACACATTAAAAACAAAATTCAAAAACACATTAAAATGATCATTCACCATGATCAACTGGGACTTATCCCAGGGATGCAAGGGTGATTCAACATATACAAATCAGTAAATGTGATAATACCACATTAACAGAATGAAGCACAAAACTCTGATGATCATCTTCATAGATGCATAAAAGGCACTTGATGAAATTCAACATAGTTTCATAATAAAATATCTCAGTAGATTAGGTTTCAAAGGAATATACTTCAACACAATAAAGGCCATGTGTGACAACCCCACAGCTGACATCATCCTTACTGGTGAAAAGTTGAAAGCTTTTCCTCTAAGACCAGGAGCAAGATAAGGCTGCTCACTCTCATCATTTCTTTCTTTCTTTTCTTTTCTTTTTTTGAGATGGAGTCTCGTTCTGTTGCCAGGCTGGAGTGCGGTGGTGCGATCTCGGCTCACTGCAACCTCTGCCTACCAGGTTCAAGTGATTTCCCCTGCCCCAGACTCCTGAGTAGCTGGGATTACAGGTGTGAGCCACCACACCCAGCCCACTCTCATCATTTCTATTCAACATAGTACTGGACCATTCTAACCAAAGCAATGAGGCAAAAGAAAGAAAAAAGAGGCATTCAACAGGAGAGAAAGAAGTGAAATTGTCACTATTTACTGATAATACGATTTTATATACAGAAAACTTTAAAGATCTGTTAAAAAAAAAAACCTGCTAGAAGAAATAAATGAATACAGCAAGGCCTCAATCTTGTCAAAAGATTCTTGGAAACTGCAACTTTAAGTGAAATGACCTATAATGAAACCATTTTTTCTCAACATTATAATTAAACAACATTGAAGGAATCTACTTTATTCAAGGACCTGTCATATGTCATTTCATTTAAAGTCATTCTTTCTGAAAGCCACTGATGGTGTTAAATGAGGACTTACTGGACAGCAAAGTTTCAGGACACAAAGTCAACATGCAAAAACCAGTAGCATTTCTACATAAATAATTAACCATCTGAAAAGAAAATCAAGAAAATGATCTCATTTATAATAGTATCAGAAAGACTAAAATATTCGAAAACAAATTTAACCAATGAGGTAAAATAACTATACACATGAAAAACTAAAAGCATTAATTTAAAAAATTGAAGGCACAACTAAATGAAAAGATATCTTATTTTCATAAATTAGAAGAGTATGGTTAAAATACATTACTCAAGGAAATGTACAGATTCAATGCAATCTCTATCAAAATTCCAAAGGTATTTTTTGCAGAAATAGAAAAAAATCCTAAAATTTGTGTGAAAACACAAAAGGCCCCAAATAGCCAAAGCAATCTTCAGTAATAGAACAAAGCTGGTAATATTAGGCTGCCCATTTTCAAAAGATGCTACACAAAGCAACATACTGCTGATGTATAAGCAGACAACAGATCAATGAAACAGAATATAGAGCTCAGAAATAAGGTCATGCATTTACAGTCTATTTTCAACAAATGTGCCAAGAATATACAATGGGGAAAGAGTAGCCTCCTAAATAAATAGTGTTGGAGAAACTGTATATCCATATGTAGAAGAATGGAATTAAACCCTTATCTGAACATTTTATACAAAACTCAGTTCAAACTAGAATAAATTTATAAACAGAAGACCTGAACTTGTGAAACAACTAGAAGAACAAATAGGAGGAAAATTCTATGACATTGGTGTAGGCAATGATTTTTTGAATATGACCTCAAAAGCACAGGTAAGAAAAGCAAAAATCGACAAATGAGATTACATGAAACTAAAAAGCCTCTGCATAGCCAAGAAAACAATCAACAGGGTGAAGAGATAACTCATGGATTAGGGAAAAAATACTTGCAAACCGTATATCTAGTAAGGAATTAATATCCTATATATAAGGAACTTAATAGAAAGCAAAATATATAAGGAACTTAAATATTCCAATTAAAAGTGGACAAAGAACCTGAATAGACATTTAGCAAAAGAAGTTACACAAATGGCCAGATATGTGAAACAATGTTCAACATCACTAATCATCAGAGAATTGCAAGTGAAAACTATAACAAGATATCACCCCACTCCTGTTAGAATGGCTACTTAAAGACAAAACAAGTGTTAGTTGGACTCTGTTAGTTAGACAGTTAGTTGGACAAGTGTTAGTTAGATTAGTACAGCCAATACTGAAAATATTGTGGAAGTTTTTCTAAACAATAGAGATAAAACTATCATATGATCTAGTAATTCCACTTTAGGTATATATCCAAAGGAAATGAAGTCAATATCTCAAATGGAACTCTGCACTCTCATATTCCTTGCATCATTATTTGCAGTTGTCAAGATATGGAATCAACCTATGTGACCATCAAGGAATGAGTAAAGAAAAATGATATATATACATAACGGAATACTATTAACCTTTAAAAAGGAAGAGAAATTCTATCATTTGAGACAACATGGATGAACTTGGAAGTCATTACATTAAATAAGCCAGGCACAGAAAGGCAAATATTACATAATGTAGCTTATATATAGAATAAAAAAAAATTGAGCTCAAAGAAGCACGGAAGAAAATGATGGTTACCAGGGGCTGGGACGGGGACTGGAGAGATGTTGTTTGGTCAAATGATACAAAATTTCAGTTAGCTAGAGGTAATAAGTTTAAGAATTCTAATGTATAACACACTGACTATCATTAGTAACAATGTCTTATATTCTTGAAAATCACTAAGAGTAGATTTTAAGTGTTCTCACCACAAAAAAAAGGTGTTTGAAGAAATACATATGTTAGTTTGATGTAGCCATTCCACCATGCATACTTATTTTAAAATATGCTGTACAAAGGAATACGTACAATGTTAACTCATCAATTAAAACAGCATGAAGAAAAGGTTTAAAATATTTTAAAGAATAATCCCAAAATTTTAGGAATAAAAGGGGAATATTAAGACGTGAAATATAAAAATCAATTGCATTTGCATATACTAACAACAATTATAAAATAAATAAATAAATTTTTGAAACCACTGAAATTGGAATTCAAACAACATTAGATATCTAGGAATAAATAACAGGAGATACACAACATTCCTCAGAAAACTAGAAAATATTACTGAGATAAACTAAAGAACACCAAAATACATGAAAAGTTATTTAATGTTCATGAATTAGATGCCTTACTATTTTACGGATGTCATTTCTCTTCCACGTTGCTATATAGGCTCAGTATAATATCAGTAAAAATAATATCAGGGATTTTTTTTTTCTGTAGAAACTGACAAGCTGATTTTAAAGAATACAGTAAGAGAGTCTATTCTGCCAGAAATCAAGACAAATTAGCTACAGAAATTAAAACAGAATGATATCGGTAGGGAGTTGATAAATTGATCAGTCGAACAGCCTATAGAGTCTCAGAACAAGTGGATACATATTCAGTCACTTGACTTATAGAAATGAAGTTTTGTCAATAAATGGTTCCAGCACAATTGCCCTAGTTGTAAAGCTCATCTGCTACCTTAAATCATAAACATTCAATTTCTATTTGATCATGGATCTAAATATGAAAAAAAACAAATTTCTAGAAAATAATATGTAGGAGAATATCTTCTCTGATAGATAAACATCTGATCTTGAGGTAGGTAGGTAGGCAAATAATTGTCAAACAGGGCACAAACAGCACTAACCATAAGAAAACAGAATGGTAAGTTGGACTTCATTAATATTCATCTATCAATTTTTTAAAATTATCTACTTGTAAAGAATAAGTAAATTGGAATTTGCAATCAGATATTGGAAATAAGGGAATATTGTCTTTTCTGTCACAACACATACATGCATGCACACACACATTCCTCTCTCCCTCTCTCCTTCCTAACTGCCCAGAAAACAAAAGACAAAACAATCTTATACACCAAATATAATGGTCCTTGATTATACATGAATTGACAATATTTTGTAAGCAAAATCATGTTCATATTTAGATAGATAATTAAATTACAATTTGCTTAAATTCATGGACTATCTCAGGCTTTTCCAGGTGATCAATTTGACTTGACTAGCAGTAAGATTCATACCATCCTTAATCCACGGGACTCCAAACAGAAACTCAAGGCTAAGTGAGAAAGGTCTTGTGAGGAGGTAAGTAACACTCAAGTTCACATAGGCCTACAATCTAACTCAAGACAGCACCCAAACCACAGAGTGCGATTTAAGACTACAAATTAGAAGGCTGGGCATAGTGGCTCAAACCTGTAATCCCAGCACTTGTGGAGGCCAAGGTGGGCAGATCACCTGAGGTCAGGAGTTCGAGACCAGCCTGGCCAACATGGTGAAGCTTTGTTTCTACTAAAAATACAAAAATTAGCTGGGCGTGGTGGCAGGCACCTATAATCCCAGCTACTCGGGAGGCTGAGTCAGGAGAATTGCTTGAACCCGGCGGGTGGAGGTTGCAGTGAGCCGAGATTGTGCCACTTCACTCCAGCCTTGGCGAAAGAGTGAAACTCCGTCGAAGAAGAAGAGGAGGAAGAGGAAGAAAAGGAGAAGAAGAGAAAAGAAGAAGAAGACGAAGAAGAAGAAGAAGGAAGAAGAAGAAGAAAACAACTACAAATTAGAATAGGTAAGGTACCTGGGAATAGAGGCAGCAGGAGGAAGCCTGCAATGTTTGTGTTTCTTGGCATGTGACTCAGTAGTTAAATATAATTTGGGATGTCTGAGGGGGTTAGAAATTGCAATTTGGAATCAGCCCCAGGACTCCTCCTATCCAATTTTACCAGGAATAGGCTAATATTTTGTACCATATCTTCCTCCTGTGTTTTTTTCCCAAGTTATAAAGTTAATGGGGAAAGAGGGATGATCAGTTATTGTACTTAAAACCAAACAGTGGCCCACTGAATTTGATGCTTTTATGGGACATTCACATGGAAGGGATGTTCGAATAACCATCTTTCAATACAAGTGTCAGGTGTTGGCTCATGAGGAGTTAGAGATAGAGGTCTGGAGTACAAAAGAGATAACATGAACAGAGAGTGAGTGGGAGGAGAAATGATGGAGGGCCTACAGTTCCCAAGTAAGTTGTTTCGAACATGTTCTCTGAGAAGACAGGAAGCCTCTAAGTCAATGTATATTTTGAAATGCATATACAGTTATTGATTTATTGTGCTGTTGAACTGACATCTACTGAAACTCGTAGGTAATATAGCAACAGTTCATAATCTTATTCTTCTTCTCCTGCACTATGAGACTTCCTATGGCTCATAAAAACATATCTCATTGTGGCATTTAGAGGAGTAGAAAAAGAAAGCATTGGTGTAGGTTTCTGAAAATAAATTGCTCTAATACTGCAGCTGTATTAAACTGTCATAAGCAATATTCCCATTGGGCTCATGGATAAAACACTGGCTTTAAACAGTGCCTCATGACTAGGTCCAAGGCTCTAAATTATATCTGGGTTTAGCCACTTGTTACAGAGGTAAGATGAATGTTTGGGAATTAACCATGCCAACTGAACACCTCTGGAATGCTGACAGAGATGAAGCATGTTAATGGAGTGCTACACTTCAGACTGATTTATTAAAAATGGATTATCTGGAGAGAAAGTAATTCTTGGTAGGACTTGGCTTAAATTGATTCCCTTGTTGCCCTTGAAAATAAGGGAAAATCCCCAAGCTTTCTTAGTGGTACATAGAGATGATGGTGTTGGATGGAGCTAAAGGTAAAAAACATTTCTAGGCCCAGCTGTGTCAATCAATAACTTGTGGCATATATATGTCTTCTTACTAAGAATGATAGTTTTAAAATTACGTGATTTCTGTGGAATCTTACAGCTTTAATATGCTTGGGTTAAATTAAAGTGTTTCTCATCAAATAAGTAGGAATTAAAATAATCTTTGTTATATTTGGGACTGTCCCTTCTGTGAGGCTCAGGCTTTTATTTATTCCCATGAAATTTTATTCTAAAATTTTGTAAAAATTCAATTTTTTTTTTATTTTGTTAAATGTGATTATGATGTTGTGGCTACTTAGGAGAATATCCTTTTGTGGAAGAGATGTGTGCTAGAGAAATTAGGAGTGAAGAATTAGGATGATTGTGACTTTCAATGTTCCAGGCTGAAAAGGTCTTTTATCTTTAATGAAAAGTACATTATATCTGCTATTGCTTTACAGCTTGCAAAGTAAAACTATCACTTTCATAAAGATTATCTTGTTGATCCTTGGTCTTCTAACGCACTTAGGATTAAATCTAAAATTTTGAAATACCTACAAGGCCTTACATGATGTGGCCCCAGACTGATTTTTCAGTTTCCTTTAGAGCCACTCCCTCCCTCCTTGGATCCGGAAGCACCAACCTTTTGAGCTCTCCAACATGTCACACCCCTTTCCTTCCCCAGGGTCTTTGTAAATGTTTGTTTTTAGCCACACAACTCTTTCCATTCTCACAGCCCTTCTGTATCTAACTCTTACATGTAGTACTAGTCCACTTTTGCATGGTTATGACACAGTAACGAACAATCCCCCAATGGCTGACAACAATAATAATTTCTCAATCATAACAGCCTTCTAAGGACTCTGGGAATTTAATTCCCTTCACCAGGTTTTCTCCTCTATCTGCAAAATGAGCTGATGATATCCATCCTTAGTATGTCATAGAACTCCCTGCTGTACTTAGAGTACAATCCAAAGTCCTTAAGCACAGCCTGTGTGACCTTACACCAGCCCAGAGATTTTGCCTTGTTGTGAATCACTTTCTTTATTCTTCAATTTGTTCCTATTATAGTTATCTCCTTCTGGTTCTTTGAAAGGACCCCACTTTCAGTGTTGTATGACACTCCCTGCTCATGGGAGGCTTTTACCCCTACTCCATAACTAACTTTCTAAGTCCCAGCTTAAAACATCCTTTTTCAGAGAAGGCTTTTTAGTTTTTCGATTTAAAATTAAGAGCTTCACCACTCCTAGGAGCTAATTATTTTCTCTCTTAAGAGGAAGCAGTGCATTTAGTGGTTAACAATTTAGGTTCTGGAGTCACAGTGCCTGGGTTTGAATCCTAGCTCTGATAGTTATAGTATTCCCAACTTACCCATGGGACATACATTCAAAGAACCCCAGTGAAAGCCTGAACCTCCAGACAGTACCAAACCTAATTATCATCAATCAGAACATCTGTGGTTTTGTTTTCCACATACAAATTTGGTGCCTTTCCCATCTTAACTAAACACCAATCATGCACTGTAGCCATAACTTTTGCCATTTTTGAGGTGCAACAGCAAAACTATCTCAAATTTCTTTTTTCTTCTTTACAATGTCACAGATAGAAAATTCATTCTTACTGCAGATCTTAGCAACCTCAGCATATGATTTTGTTTTCTTTCCTTAAGTTGAGAACTTTCACCTTCTCTCTTAAAGAAAACACTTGACAGCTTCTCTTTGGCATATCATTGGCATCACTACTCTTGGGCTGTGAGTTAATTATTAAGTAGAATAAAAGTTACCTGACAGAAGCACTGTGAGTTGATCAGATAACTGTGACAGCTACTAAGTCACAATGGGTGAGTAGGGTCTAAAGCTTGGATCCAGTGGAGAAAGGGATGATTCACAGAACAGAACAGCATGAGATGGCTCAATATTTCATCACACTACTTAGAAGAGTGCACGTTTAAAACTCATGAATTTCTTATTTCTGAAATTTTCTACTTAATATTTTCCAACTGCAGTTGACCATAGGTAATTAAAACTATAAGAAAGTAACCATGGAGACTACTGTTCTTAGTAGGTAACCTTGGGGAAGTTACCTTAACCTATTTTTGTTACCTTTAATATGGGTATTAGAACATTGCCTACTTCATAAATCTGTTACAGGAATGATGTGAATTAAAGGGCTTCACATAGTGCCAGGCAAATATCAAGTACTTCATAAATAATAGACATCATCATAATACTTCTAATAGTCATAGATTTACATGTTTCTTGGACACTTGCCTTTTCAAGTTAAAAGAGATCTTAAATATCTTATTAACTGATCACTTCCCTGACTCAGAAATGCTTTCTCTGATATTCTGGATAGTCACCTAGACCTTTTTTGAATATTTCCTTGGGTGATTTTGCTATATTACAAAGTAGTCCTCAATTTTTGTAGGTTTATGGTGTTAAATTGAGATATGTGTTCCTATAAATTCCACCTCTTGATTCTTCCTTCTAGGAGAAAAAAACACACACACAGTTAAGTTCTATTTTCTAAATGGCAAGTGTTCCTATACTGGAGGCAGCTTTCCTGGCAGCCCAAGGGACACCAATTCCAGTGTCAAGATGTCAGGTCTCACATCATCACTTTTCCAGTCAGCTTTTGAATCTAAAATGATCCTGGATGCCCTCTCCTTCATGCCATGTGAGTTTGCCAGTTTGTTTTATGGAGCTCAATGATGACTATGTGGAAGTGTGGAATGTGCATGTGGAATGTGCATTCAGAGCTAATGTAGATGCAAGGGTGAGGAGGTACTCCACAAAAGTAAAGTTAGGGCTGGTAGCGTGCTTGGAATACAAGCACATTGACAAAATCTGAGGACATATTCTCATCTAATAAGACTCTTCTGGATTCCTTCTCATTTGTACATCCTCATTCTTCTAGAACATGTATAGAAGTTAGCCAGGCAATCAGTACTCACTTGGTGCCTGTGATGTGGCTCTTTTCTGAGTATGGGGGATGTAGACACTCTGTAGTCATGGAGACTAAAGTCATAGAACTTTTTAGTCTAGACAGCAGAGAATTGATATGTGGATTCAAAACTGAAGTTACTTGTGTTGACATTGATAACAAAACTACTGAGTTGGTGTCAAGACTTTAGCTATTCAGTTAGCATTTGCGTACCTACTATTTGTCAGTCACCATAGCCACTGAAATGGAATAGGAAACAAGAAGGCAAGGCAATACAAGAAACTAAAGTCAGTAGAAAGTGTAAAAATACACAATCTTGAGGACTAGCCTTCAGGTGCTCCTAATGCTTATACTGGGATGGGAGTGGAGGATGAGTGGCCAAGGTGGGCTGCAGGGTTGTTGAAGCAGTCAGACCTATACAATATAGAATCTCTTGGAACATGGATGGAGCTGGAGGCCATGATCCTTAGCAAGCTATTGCAGGAAGAGAAAACCAAATACCACATGTTTTCACACATAAGTAGGAGCTAAATGATGAGAACTCATGGACACAAAGAAGGGAACAACAGACATTGGGGCCTACCTGATGTGGGAGGAGGGAAAGAATAAAAAAACACAAACTATGGGTACTAGGTGTAGTACCTAGGTGACGAAAATGTGTACAACAAACCCCTGTGATATGAGTTTACTATCTAGCAAAACTGCACATGTACCCCTAAACATAAAAGAAAAGTTAAAAAATATATAGAATCTTAGAACTGAGGAATGTATTGTAACTGAATAAAGATCTCTGGGTACCTACTTTATACCTCTTGTACCTGACTTAATTTATGTCCATACTTCCTCCTTTCTAACTGCATTCTTAAGCCTATTTTCTAGGCTTAAGATTTCTAGGATGCAATGTGTAGGGGACTGTTAGAGGAACAGTGTCTGGAATGGCAGGACGAAAACCTAATGAGGGTGGGTCAAGGAGAGAATTAAAGGAGAGGAACTAGAGACAATAAGCATAAACAAGTTTTTCTAGTGCTTTGCTATAAAGGGAGCAGAGAAATGGGGTGGTAGCTAACTGAGGGAGAAAATGAGGTCAGCAGATGTCAGAAGAAGTTAGAAGCCTAAATTCTTCTTAAGCCTATTCTGTCTGACCGTTAAATAGACAGTCAGCAAATGCTCCCCAAATGATTCTCTAATGCCTTTGGAAAAACTGCCAGGACCTGCATAGAGGCTGCGACATTACAGTGGCAGCTAAGCTAGAAAGGCTGCTCCAGTGGCAAATGGCACTAAGCTACTTGCCTTTTTTTATTAACACTAGTACATAAAGGTTGCCAGCAGAAAGCCCTTGTAATAACAGCCAACTGCTTCTAAGCATCTGAGCCCTTAATGAAACCCCATCCTCCTCCCCAGGGGAGGGAAGAATTGTTGGTTTTCTCTCTCAATTATTTTTCCAGTCTATTAAATTGTCACAACCCCTGTGTCTCTGTGAGAGGCGGGTGTCATCATAGCTCATCTCCTGGAGACAGGGAATAGTGCTGCCAGAGGAGATGTTTTCTGAGTCTGTTTCACCACCGCCAGAGAAAAGAAGGTGATGATGGAAAAACTCCAAAGCAGCAGCAGTAGACGTCCTGGAGAGATTTATGAGACACACAACAAGCGAAACGAGGATGTTTGTGCCATCAGGTTATAAAAAATATGCAATTTTAATCCACTAAGCAGTTTATCTTTTCATGCAGCTTAGTTTGCTGGGATAATTACCTTTCTGAGCAGTCCATGACATGGACGAGGCAAAGTGTGTGCAAAATACACAAATCTGTGTGTGCCATTGGAGAATATGTCAGAGGAAGGAGGATTAACTCAAATTTTGGAAAACATGCTGTAGACAATGCAGACAGTATGCTGAAAGTTTTTCTTCTGTCGTTAGCCAAATTATGAAGGTTTATTTTCTCTTAGAGCAACAGTAGCTATTTGACCCCTTACTATACATTAGATACTCTGTGGTATATTTTTCAAGCACCACAGAGGTTCAGGGAGATTAAATAATTTACTCAAAAATATGCAGTAAAGGCATGTGTGGGCTTAGATGTGACCCCAGGCCGTCTGCCCCAGGAGCCTGGATCTCCTTTCCTGACATGAGCCATCTGCGCCTATTGAAGACTCACACCTTCACCAGAGCATTTGACCCTTTCCCTGCAGCCTGATGACACACTGCAGCCATTCTCCCCACACTTTCCTGACATTTATTTCCCTTTATCTACTAGTTCTTTCCCATCAGTATGCACAAATACAACAGTTTTCCCATCTTGAAAAACATCTGCTGACCTCATTTTCTCCCCCAGTTAGTTACCACCCCATTTCTCTGCCCTCTTTATAGCAAAGCTACTAGAAAAACTTGTTTATGCTTATTGTCTCCAATTCCTCTCCTTTAATTCTCTCCTTGACCCACCCTTATTAGGTTTTCATCCCACCATTCCAGACACTGTTCTTCTAACAGTCACCTACACATTGCAGCATGTGGCATTGATCACTCCCTCTTTCTTGAAACATTTTCTCCTTTTTTTTTTTCTTGAGACAGAGTCTCCCTCTGTCACCCAGGCTGGAGTGCAATGGTGCGATCTTGGCTCACTGCAACCTCCGCCTCCCAGGTTCAAGCGAATCTCCTACCTCAGCCTCCCGAATAGCTGGGATTACAGGCTCCTGGCACCATGCCCAGTTATTGCTTGTATTTTTAGTAGAGATGGGGTTTCACCATGTTGACCAGGCTGGTCTTGAACCCCTGACCTCAGCTGATCGACCCATTTCAGCGTCCCAGAGTGCTGGGATTACAGGTGTGAGCCACCACACACGGCCAACATTTTCTACCTTTAGCTGCCAAACAGACATAGTCCTGGTTTCATTCCTTCACACTAACCCTTGCTGGTTTCTTTTCATCTTCCTGACATCTTCATGGTTAGGGAATACAAAGGAGCTCATTCCTAGGACTTCTCTTTTCTGTCTACACTCACTCTCTTGTGCTGATGAACCTTCCAGACATCTATCTTTGTATTTAATATCTTCATCTGGATGCTAATAGCCATCTCAAGTTCAATATATCTCAAACCAATCTAGCAACCTCCCTGCTTCTCAGCCAAATCCACTCCATCCATAGTTATCTACAATCTCAGTCGATGACAATTCTATCCTTTCAGTTGCTTAAGCCAAAACCATAAAGTCACCTGACTCCTGTTTATCTCATGCTCCACGTTCAATGTATATCTAGATTCTTACTGCTACTCACCCTCCACTGATACCACTATGATCCCTGTCAACATCATATTTTACCTTGATTATTGTAAATGCCTTCTAGATGCCTGTTTCCTCCACCCTTACTCCGTACATCCTAGTCTCAATGTATAAGCCATAATGATACTTTAAATTTGTCAGTCAGATCGTGGCATTTACCTGTTTAAAACACTGCAGTGGCTCTCCATCTAACTCAGAAAACACAAAGTCTTTACAAAAGTCTGTAAGGCCCCATGCAATATGTCCCATCCCTGCTTCAAATCTCCAACCTTCTCTTTGAATCACTCTGAGTTAGACATAATGGCCTCCTTGCTGTGTGTCCTGGCTTTTCTCTCTGCTGCACTGCAGTGCTCTTTCTCCAGATAGCCATATGGTTTGTTCTCATCTCCTCCTTCAGGTCTTTGCTCAGATGACTCTTTCTCAGTGATGTCTTCCCTAATTACTATATTTAAAATCAAACTCCCCCTCAAATACACATGCATAATCTATTCTCCTTCCGTACATTATTTTCTCTATTCCATTTATTGTCCTTTAACTTACTACATAATTTACTATCTGCTTCCCCAACTGGGATACAAATTCCTTGAAAGCAGTTTTATCTGTTTTCTTCAACACTGTATCCCAGAGCTTAGAACAGTGCTGGAAACACTGTGAAGTGACTATTTGATGAACAAATGAACAGTCATGACTCTTAAAGTCATTACCTAGAGAGGGTTGGAAATGACCTGAGAGTGAAAGATTTCCTCTTCCAAGTGGGCTGGTGTGCTGCCCTGAATTAGCATTGGAAACTGTAGCTACAATCCCATCAGTTATAATGTCTATAATTTACTTGTGAGAGGCAGTGGAGTGCTGGGGTTATATGTGGACTCCTGAAGCCAGATGGCTTGGGTATGGATTCCATCTCTGGCACTTACTAGCACTTTGAATAAGTTTCTAAAACTTTTTGTGCCTAGTTTTTTTTTCTCATCAGCAAAATGGAAGTAAAAATATTACTTACCTGAGAGGGTTGTTATAAGGATTTGATAAGTCAGTCAGTATACACAAAGTGCTTAGATCACTGTGTCCCATGGGCTTCTGCAACAAATTTCCCATGCCTTCGATGTTTTCAAGAAATGTTCATTACCTTCTTCCCTTAATATAAACCTGAATCTTTCCTGAGGATATGGCCACCCTTGAAGCCCTCTTGCTATAGGTTCTTTCTCCCCGATATCTCTTCTACAAGGGCCCTGAGGTGGAGTAAATGTCCTCCTTACTCTTCATTGATACTTCCAGATGCTTATTTATTTATTTTTTAACCTAAAAACCTATTGGAATCTTATATTGACCTCACATACATGTTGCCCCCTTAGTGTCATTGTCAGATGACACTTCATCATTATCCCTCATTCCTTAAAGATTTTGGTTCACTGCTTTTCCCTATTTAAACTTTCTTCTGGAATAATCTTTAGTGAAGTCAAAATTCACCATAGTGGATTGTTCAACACCTTGGCCTTTGTTTCTAACGTTTCCTTCTTCAGTCTTTTTCTCTTACTCATTCCACATACCTTATCATTAACAATAACCACAATACCTCCATAACCTCATTTTTAAACATTTCATTCACAAACCACCATCTCCCATCTCCCTAGCTCATTCTATTTACTATCCTAACTACAACATTCTATTGAGCCCACAGTCATCTAAATTCCTTGCTTTTGGTTATATATATGTATATTTACCATTGTGTGCATACCTAGTTTCACTGGTGCCATAGAAGAAGTTCATTAAAAGTGAAAGACTAAGGATATTAACAAAAGTGTCAGTCTGAAAATTTTCTTCTCCATAAAAGCAGAAAGAACACCAGCATAAATTGTCAGAATTAACTTTTTCAAAACTCTAAAAATTAATTAAAGGCTTATGGAAATCCTGAAAATATTTAAGATAACCAGCTGAATCTAGGTATGAACAGTGAGCTTTATGACATCTTAATTTTTCCTATTTGCATCCCCTCCCCTCCCCAGCACCACAGTAAGTCTTGAAATCCAAATAGCCTGCAATCATGGTAAAATCCAGCAGCCTAAGAACCACCAAAGGGAGTAGAATGGGGCAAAAACCCTTTCAAAGTCCCACTATCAGAGCATTGTCATTATTTGATCTGTTTGGTGGTTTCCTAGAAGAACCCACTAGCAAAGCTTTATTTATTTAACCTAACAGGAAGCTTAACTCCTGAAGAAGTGGGAAACAGTTGAGGAAAATAATAGGCTAACCAAAAAGCTTAAGGAAATCTTGGGAATAAGAGATCCAAAGGGTGTTTTGAAAAGCTCTGATATATTTCAGAGAATCTAGAAGGTCATAGACATGCACATAGGGCTGTGTACATGTTTGGGCCTATGAAAATGCCCTGGAAACACCTGAGCTCTTACTTCTGGCTAACCTTGAGTTTCTGCAGAAGGGGGAGATAAAGGCTAAATCATGGTTGTTAACTGCCTGGCAGAGTGTTGAAGGAGTGCAGTCCATCAAGCACACTAATATATAGACAATGGTAACCCCAAGAGGATAGAGAGAGATAGAATATTTGAAGAAATAACGGCTGAAAACATGTCCAAGAACTCCAAATAAGATGAATTCAGAGATCCATGCTCAGACCCATAATAATTGATTGAGCTGTTGAAAACCTAAGACAGAAAAAATCTTAAAAGCATCAGAAGAGAAGAAACTGATCATTTAAAGGGGGTGTTCACTCAAAGAGAATAAAACTGATTTGCCATCAGATATCATGGAGACCAGAAGACAGAGGAATGGCATATTCAAAATGCTAAAAGAGAAAGACTGTCAACCAAGAATCTATATCCAACCAAACTATTCTTCAAAAATAAATTTAGACATTACCAGATGAACAAAAACTGAGAATTCACTAACTTGACTTTTCCTATAAGAAATGCTAAATGAATCCTTCAGCTGATGTGAAGAAACACTAGAAAGTAACTTTAATTCACATAAATAAATGAAGATAACCGGTAAAAATAATTGCATAGGTAAATATAAAATACAGGTTAAATATATTTTTGTTTATAAGGGTTTTATTCTATTTGATTTAAAAAACTGCATAAATAATTATAAATTTGTGTTGATGGTTATATCATGTGTAAAGAAGTTATTTGTATGACAATAGCACAAAGAAGGGTGATGAACTGGATCTATGCAGAAACAATTTTTTCTATACTGGTTGAAATTGATTGAAATAAACTAGATTGTTTCAAATTAAGGTCATTGACATAATCCCTGGGGTAACCACTAAGAAAATAAATTAGTAGTAAAGGAAACAAGGTGATTAAAATGGTACACTTGAAAATATCTATTTAACACAAAGAAGGCAATAATGAAAGATAGGAAACAAAAAATAAGGAAAATAAATACAACATGGCAAATATAATTCCTACCTTACCTTATCAGTAATCCCATTTGTACTAAATTCTCAAATTAAGAAGCAGAAATTAGAAAAATGGATCAAAAGAAACCAGGATGCCACTACATGTTGTCTACAAGACATACACTTTACATCAAACACAAAAATAGGCTAACAGTTAAAGGGTGGTAAAAAGAAACACGATGTAAACAGTAAGCAAAAGAGAGCCGGAGTGGGGCTAGACTAATATCAGACAGAATAGACTTTAAGATAAACATGTTCTAGCAATAAAGAGCAATATTTTATAATGAGTCAATTCATCCAAAAATATACAATAATTATATAAGCATCAAAAAAGTCCCAAAATACACGAGGTAGAAACATACAGAATTGAAGTGAGTAACAGAAAATTTGATGATAATTGGAGACTTCAATATCTCAATTTAAGCAATGGATAGAACCAGACAGATGATCGACAAGAAAATAGAAGACTTGAACAACAATATAAATAAACTACATACAAAGTTATCTGTAGAGTACTCCACCCAGCAACAGTAAAATAAATCAAGTGTTCCTGAATACTTTTCAAGATAGAATCTATATTAGGCCACAAAACAAGTTTCAATAGATGTATAATGATTGAAATCACAAAAAGTATGTTCTCCAAGTACAATGGAATCAGTAACAGAGGGAAACTTGGGAAATTCAATAGCATGTGGAAGTTAAACAACATACTCCTAAACAACAATAAGCCAAAGAAAAAAATCACAAGGGGAATTACAAAACACTTCAAAATGAATGTAAACAAAATAGCATGCCAAAATTATGGGATGCAACTAAAGTAGTGCTTAGAGGGAAATTTACAGCTGTAAATAAGTCAATTAAAGAAGAAAGACATTTCTTTGAAGAATATATACAAATGGCCAATGAGCTATGAAAAGACAGTCATCATCATCCATCATTAGGGAAATACAAATCAAAACCAAATGATATCATCACTTCATACCCACTAGGATAAATCCATTTTAAAAAGACAATAGGTGTTAGAGAGAATGTGGAGAAACTGGAAAGCTCATATACTTTGGGTAAGAACGTAAAATGGTGCAGCCAGTTTGGTGAACAGTTTGGCAGTTCCTCAATGGGCTAAACGTAGAGTTACTATATGATCCAGATTATTTTACTCCTAGCTGGGTGTCTACCCAAGAGAAATGGAAATAAATGCCCATATGAAAACTCATACATACATGTTCATGTCAGTATTATTAATAATACTCAAAGTGGAAATGACTCAATGGCTATCAATTAAGAAATATAATATATTGACAGAAGGGAAAATCAGCCATATAAAGGGATGGAGTACTGGTTCATGCTCTACATGGATAAATCTTGAAAACATCCTAAGTGAATAATACCAGACACAGAAAGCCACTCATTTTATGATTCCATTTGTATTAAATGTACTGAATATGCAAATCCATAGAGACAAAAAGTAGATTAGTGGCCGCTAAGGGCTGGGGGGTAAGTAGAATAGAGACTGACTGCTAATGGGAACAAGATTTCTTTTTGGAGTGATGAAAATATTCTAAAATTATTGGTGTTGAATGCACAACTTTGAGAATATTCTAAAAGTCACTGACTTTAAAAGGATGCACTTTAAAAGCATCAATTTTAGGGCATGTTAACAATATCTCAAAAAATGAAACATTAATTCTGGTTAGGAAAATTATAAAAGACTTCATTGTTAGGGTACATTCACAGTAGAGCTAGATCATGAACACTCTGCAAACAGGGAGACAGTGTTATGGTGTGGAAGAAGGGAACAGGGAGGCAGGAAAGCATTAAGCACAAGTCAGAAGTTAATGCTTCTATTTTGGGCTGCAACGTGATATTGGGGAGTGAGTTTAGAATTGTTACTTGTAGCTAGGTTGGAGAGAAGCAACATTGAACCTCCATGCATGCTGCAGGCCAACTGTTTATGGCCCCAGGTTTAAAATGAAATTGTGGAGTACCTAAAATATTCTCAGTGGTGGCCTCAAATTTTGCTTTCATTATTCTTTACTCTGTACATTTAGGATTGTCCTGTTGTGAGTTTTCCAGGCCAGAGAGTAAAAGACTCCTAATCCAAATTTCTCTCAAATCATAAAATATAGACAGCCTCCGGGTTCCATATAATTATGAAGTTAGGTTCATATTTTCAGTTTCCAAAATAGCTTTCCAAGGCTGAACTTAGGTAACACCGGTGATAATGTTTGAGCCACATTCCCAAACTCTGGAAGAAAGCCCACAGTTAACAGAAAAGTACATTTCCCCAAAGCAGGCCCAAGTCAATTTAATGACACTGCTTGGTTTAGAGTAGTTCAGAGAACCAAAATATTTGGCTGACTAAAAGCATAGGGTTTGCCTATATCCACGGCAAGAGAGAAATAGTAGAAAGGGAAGCCAAGAACCCAAGGTATATATTTGGGGGGTTTTGTTTTAGCTTTTGTTTGTCCATATGCAAATGAAGACCTGGATTTGAAATACCTTAATGTTCAACTTTCAAGCTGGCAAACATACCTGTAAAATAGCTATTGCACTGAAAAAAAAAAAAAACAAAAAACAACCCTTATGTCATTTAGTCCATTCTGCTTTTAGATAAAATGACACTTATGCATACTTGTCAGTCTAAATTTAAGCCTCTGTTTTAACCCACTCTTCATCTCTCTTTCTACCACCCCATCTTCTAGAAGTAGCTTCACACCCTGTCACCAACTTATTCTGTAATCTCTTAATATGGCCTCTGGAAGATTGTTTTAATTTATGGTGCTTATCTCTAGAGGTTGTAAGACTGCCCACTTAAGTCTCGTTTCTCTCTTATTCCTTTATCGGGACTGATAAAAAGAACTAGAAGTCACTCCTTTCTCCATTCCTCATATTCTGTCCCAATCCCAACTCTTCATACGTGGAACTCTCAGAATATACAGTGGAGTTGGCCTCTTTTGTTATTTTTATCTATGCTTGGGTTACATGGAGAAATCTCAGCTAATGTGTCTTTGTGCCTCAACTCATCCTCACTTACGGTGAGGGTATAATTTTAAAAATTTCGTTATCTTTAAAATTTTACCTTCATCTCTCTTCCAGGATGCCTCACTTTCCAGATTCCAAGATGCCTCATTCTCCAGATGCATTCGTGTTTATTCATTTCTTTCTCCAGCTCCCTCTCTCATTCTGTCCCTTTCAGACTACCATCTGGAAAAAAAATAACATATGACAGATTTTCAGAAATAACTCAGTGGTCTGAAGGCTGTGCTGATGGTGTGTGAGGATAACCCTGTGCGACTAAAAACCTGTGCATCATGGTGATGCTTTTCCTGGCATTTGCGTCTACTTTGGCTTCATAAATTAAGGTTCTAATGAGACATTTCTCAGTTCTATGATCTGTACTTTGCCCCTTGACTGCCACCTTGGGAGAGGGAGTAAGGGATGATTGATTCATATGGCAGTTCATATTATTTTGGCTTATTGATCAGCTTTCTGCTAATGACTTAATATCTTAGCCCCATTGTGAATGTAACTTTCTCCCAGAAGTCATCTGATATTGAAACTTTGAAAAATATATATATATTTATATATAATATGTATATAAATATGTTTACATATATAAAAATATATATTTTAATTTTATCCTCTGAGTATTAACTGAGCATCATCTGAACTTCTCTTATAAATACTCTTAACGAGTATTTATAATTATAATAAAGTATGAATGTAATTTATGGGAATCTATTACCATCTATAAGTACCCTGAGGCCAAAATTAATGTCTAAATGAGACTTCTACCCCCCATGGTGGCAAATATGACATTTTATACATCACAGTTAATAAGGATATTTGTTGATGGATAGGTGTATAAGTTAAAGAAAAGGAGGGCAGAACAGGAATCAGTATACTAACAACTGATTCCACAACAGAGGAATAAGGGATATAGCTACTGAGAGTAGAGTCTGGGGGAAGAAAGGTCCGTAGTACCAAAGACAAAATTGACGCCCAGAGGACTTGGTGTAGAGACCTGTGATAATCATGACTTAACTGAAAACAGGAGAAAGATAACTTTAGCCAACCACCTGGAGAATCCAGGAGCTTGGCTGGCCAGGCTTAGTGTTGAATCAGCAGGTTATAGCTAATAAGGTACAGACAAAAAGAGAAATGATTATCAAGCGTTTATCACGTGCCAGATGCTATGATTAATGCCTGACCTCTTCCTTTCCCTTTCATTCACTTACTCTCATCCTCATTCTCTCATTTGTTTTTAGTAGAAAGGAAGTCTCATGCCTATTGTAATAAACCAATACTGTGCTATTCAGTATTGTTATGGTCATCTGAAAGCTTTATAGAGTGATGTAAAAGGTTACCTGAGGTTGTAATGTTAATACTTGTGAGGGATAAAAAGTGGAGGAAATAGAATTGGGCAAATTTAACAAGTCTTGGACCACCCATTGGGAAGACACAGAGCCAAGAGATAACCCACAGTGGGCAAAAATGGCCAAACTCTGATAACCCCATCATACTGAGTCATTGGCTGGGGATGCAGGTGAGGAATGTGGCATCAGCTGGAAGGACGGGGCAGATCCTGAAGCTCCTAATATTTGGAGGGTATCAGCTCACTGTATTTCTTAGAGTTGAATAGCAAGTTCCTTAAGAGTGATCCAAATGGCGTATGTCCCTGGCTGCCATACCACATACATGAGATCTTAATTGATGTATATAGACATTCTAATGACATCGTGCTTTCCTGATTCTAGTGTACTGCCTCATAGATTGATAAATCTATGAAAAACATCTAGTCCAATCATTTACAAAACACATTCCAGATAGTTCCAGATTTCCCCCGAAGATGTCTCTTGGATCACTGTAGGAATCATAAAAGAAGAGAGAGTAGCCAGTTGCTGTAACCTTCCTCCCAAACACAGTGGCTTCACTTTCTTGTGCTAGAGATTTGGGCTTCCATGTGAGATTCCATTTAAAAAGTAGTCTCTGCTATTGATAAATTAAAAGTGTAAAAAATCATTCATATCTGGCAGTGAATATCAGGGGTTTATAACTTTTCAGAGATTAATAGATTTATAGTAGGTACCAGGAACTACACATAACCCAAAGCCAGTCTTGTTTATGCCATAGTCACATACCTGGGAATAGCCATAGAAGAGTGTAGGAGATGGGTCAGAGTGGTGGGAGAAACCAGAGGGAAAGAGGCAGGCCTTCAGAAAGGAACAGGCCTTCGGAAAGGTCGGAAGGCTCTGCATAGCTTCAGGGGAGAATAGCTGAAGGCAGCTGTTTTCTAACCCTGAGGCAGAGGGCAAGGAGTAGATACAAGGGAGTGTAGGGGAATTTATCTTAAACAGGCTTGTTTACTTAAATTGACCAAAAGCTGACCTTTGATCATCCACACACATCCCTTTCCCTGAAAGGGGCACAATAAAGGTTACCCACAGATTGTGTTTGCTCCAGGCTATTGGCATTGTGCCTACACTGAGTAAATGCAAGCAACTCCAGCTTCTCGGGGCTGCTGCACTTTGGCCACTAGAGCACGGCAGTACCCTAGCTGCTCTTACACTGCATACCTGTGTCTGAGTACTCCTTTCATCTGTCGATCGGCCAGGGTCTGTGGGGCAGACCTGGCAGAAGAGTAACATCTAGAGACCAATGGGGGAGAGTCAGGTTGAGAAAGGGGATGGGATTTCCTCAAGGTTACAGGATAACTAGGGGCAGGAATAGGACACCAGTGGCCTGGTCTCCTGAATCCCTGTGCACTATTCTTTTCACTCTGCCATTATATGCCTATGACTCAGCAGACCCAGACAAAACTCTGAAAGTACAATAGACACTACTGAGAGAGAACTGTCAAACATCATTAGTGTCTACATTAAAAAATTAAAATCAATATGTTGAAGGGATAGCTGTACTCCCATGTTTATTTCAGCATTATTTACAATAGGTAAGATAGGAAAGCAATCTAAGGGTCCATCAATGAAAGAATTAGTAAAGAAAATGTGATATTTATACATAATGGGATACATACATCCTTTAAAAAGAAGATTCTGTCATTCATGACATTATGAATGAAACTGGAGGACATTATGCCAAGTGAAATAAGCTAGGCACAGAAAGACAAATACTATATGATCTCACTTATATGGTGAACCTAAAAACATCAATCTCATAGAAACAGAGTAGAAAGGTTACCAGAGGCTGAGGGGAAAGGAGATGGGAAAAAGGGAGATGTTGATCCAAAGGTACCAAGTTGCAGTTAGACTAGAGTTTTAGTGAGCTATCATACTCCATGGTGACCACAGTTAATAATGCATTGTATATTTTGAAATTGTTAAAAAATCGACTTTTAAAATATGGTTTGTATATATCATGGAATACTACTCAGCCACAAAAAGGAACAAAATAATGGCATTTGCCGCAACCTGGATGGAATTGGAGACCATTATTCTAAGTGAAGTAACTCAGAAATGGAAAACTGAGCATCATATGTTCTCATTGATAAGTGGGAGCTAAGCTATGAGGACACAAAGGCATAAGAATGATACAGTGGACTTTGGGAACTTAGGGGAAAGGGTGGGAGTGGGGGGTGAGGGATAGAAGACTACACATTGGGTACAGTGTACACTGCTCAGGTGACGGGTTCACCAAAATCTCAGAAATCACCACTAAAGAACTTATTAATGTAACCAAATACCACTTGTTCCCTAAAAACCTATTGAAATAAAGTTTACCACGAAAAAAATATAGGCTTTTAATGTTCTCAGTCACACAACAATAACTTGCTGAGGTGATAGATATGTTAATTAGCTTGAGTGAATATTTCTATAATGTATACATAGATCAAAATATCACATTGTATTGCATAAGTATACAATTATTATTTGTCAATTAAAAATTAATAAAAAAATACTCATCCCAGTCCCTGGAGTAGAATCCTTTTTTTACAGAAAACTTAGTGCGATACCACAGTACAATGAACAAATGAAAGTTGAGCAGCTCTGATTACAATTGGGGGTGGGGGTTAGTCCAAGTCAGAGGCTTCCCACCCTATTTGGCCTTTCTTTCTCTTCTCCTCCCACATTATGGTCACTCCTGAACACCTCAGTAGAGCTCTTGGCCTCTAAGTGATGTGATTTAATAAAGAGGAATGTGCCAAGACTCAGAACAGCACGGCCGCTTGCAGTGTTATAAGTGGATTAGTCATAAAATGAGCTGACTCATCATCGCAGCCCACAATAAGACACTGCCTTTGAAAGCCAACTCCTATCCTTTAAAACCAGGCATTTTAGAAAGTTTTGGGCTTAGAAATTATTCTCTCCTGTGTTGTAAGTTTGAACCTGAAGGCAGCCACTGATTTGAAAGTATTCATGGGGTTCAGGTCAAGGTTAGGAAATTCATTTCCAAAGATAAACTAATATGAAGGGAAGACTGCTATCACTCTGGAGCAGTTGATGCTGCAAATCAGTCACCTGACAAAGCAATTTACATCTGTCAACTCCCTGCCTTCCCTTAGGAGCAGGTAATGGGCTCTTGGCTCACTAAGGTGGCAAGAAGTACCACATTGTGGAATGAATTCAATTACCTGCTGAAATGTATATTTTGACTCTCCTAACTCTGCTGTGGGGAATGAATTTAAATTCCTCCATCTCATTAGCAGGGTGGGCTGTTGACCATTCTGCCAGAATGGGTCTCCATTCAGAGAGTTGTAACACACAACCCTGGAAACTAGAAAAGCAGTCAGCAAGCCACAGTGAGGACCTTCCCCTGGGCTTTCCATTGGTTGTGCTCTCCTCTCCCCACATGACCACTCCTACCTGCTCTGAGCCCCAGGCTGTCTCAGTCTCACCAGTCGTGTCACTCCCACCAACTGCTGCAGAGACACACTCAGGAAAATCTTATTGGGAGCTGCTCAGTCCCTTGAGGCAGAAAATGTGATTAGATTTCTACACCTTCCAAATGCAATACTGCATGCAGTCGGTCAAGCGAATCACTGAGCACTTTTAATCAGTCATTTCACGGGGAAGTTCCTGGGGCCTTGGGCATGGTCAGACTTCCAGGAAGGAGGCATAGGAAACACTCTTGGGAAAGCGGCCAAGGCTGTATGGGCCCAGGCTCAGCTAGATGTGCGGTCGAGGATAAAGCAAGTACAATTCGAAAGGACTTCACAGTTTACAAAGCACAAACGTGCTCATTATTTGAGGTTCTAAACAAATCTATGAGGTAAAGCTAAAAGGAAGTATTCTTCATTTTTTAGGTTTTATTTTAAAAAATTGAGTTCATATAAATAAATAGTTGCTAACCCAATTCCATGCAGTTATTGCCAAAGCTGAAACTCAAAGCAGGGTTTTGTGATTCCAAGTCCCATGTTGTTGGCATTTTCTTGCAAGATGCTAAACACACACAATGATCAGTAACAGCAGCAGCTAACATTTCATGAAGTACTATATGCTAAGGCCCTGCACAATGCGTTTCCTGTGCTGTCTTCGCAGACATCCTGTGAGATGGGTACTGACACATCCCTGTGAAGCACAGTGAAGCTGAGAGTGACTGTAATCTGCTAAAGGTTACCTGTCTCCAGGCTGCAGCACTCTATGAGGCAAATTTGTCTTCACCTATGCCACTAAAACCTCCTTAACTTCAGGGAAATTGGACTGATCCGCACATGTAGTTTCTTCCTTCTACCCCTAAACCTTACATAACTTTGGGAGAATCTCACATACCATTCTCTCAGCAGCCCTAAAGAGGTGCCTACTTACAAGGCTTGGGAGATGATAGAGGGTAACCCTGGAAATACAGTTATAATTTTGCTTCAGTTAAAAAGTCAACAAGTGTTAGTAATGACAAGAATCCTTCTACACTAAAAAGAATGCTATTCTTTTCATTTTATTTCTTCCTCTGTTCTACCACGCCTGCCCCCAAATATCTACCTAGGTGATAATGTCACAAAGTTGGAGGGACACAAGGATTATCGTGTTCTGTGTGTCCCTTTGATTTGTGTGATGCACAGCTCAACCCTTCTGTTACTTGAGAAGGCCCTTTGATCCTAACGTCTTGGAGTGTGAGGCAGGAGAAGGCTAGGTAGAAAAAAAAAAGAGAAGCAATTTCAGAAGAGGGTAAGACAAAAGCTGAATGTTCAGTGTTCCTCTCTTGGCATTTTGAGTGAGGTTGTGGTTGAAAGGAACTTGCAATTGTGGTGGCTTGAACTGAATAAGTCATGAGAACTGGACATTAGTCTAATCCTGTTTCTTTGCATTCTGGAAAGCAGAGTAGGAAGTAAACTGGGAAAACAATTGACACTTTTCATAAGTTTTCTTAATGAGACTTTTCTTTAAAGAGGTGCAAGAATAAACTTGAAAGTAAAGCCTTCTTGCCCTTGGGTGTCCTTCCTATGCTTTGCTTGTTACTTGTCCAAGTCTCATGCCAGCTTCAAGGTCTTCCAATGCCAAGAATGCCTTCCTTAATCTTCTACACACTCAGAAAACACCATAGCATTTATTGCCAGAACTCAAAACAAGTATTGATTATATAGTTACACTGTTTTCTAATTATTTAGTCTGGTAGTCTTAACTAAACCTCAGGACACTTGAGGGCAATGATCGTATTGTCGTCCTCTTCCCAGTGTATCTTATGCCATTTGCAACTTAGTAGGTCTGTACATGTAGCCAGTGATAAATAAACCTAAGTGCCTGTTAATAGTGATATACATGTAAAACTTTATCCCTCAGTAATAAAACTTGTATAGTGCCTGAGTACAGAACACATGTGTTCGTATTTGGGCTAATAACTCTTAGTGAGGGAAGAGAATTTGCAAGTTCACTATTAATAAAATAATTTTAATCTTCTCTAATGTTTTTAGAAATTTCTAAACCATAAGACTTCTAAATACTTGTACCATTCAATGATATTTGTGGATCACATTTTATTTTTTATACAGTCACACCTTAGACATATGGTGGGTTTGGTTCCAGACTACTGCAACAGAGTGAATATTGCAATAAAGTGTGTCATACAATTTTCTTTGTTTCCCAGTGCATATAAAAGTTATGCTTACACTATACTTCCTCTCCTTGTAAATTTCCATTAGAGCTCTTGGGTAACTAGGTGCATTGTCAATGATCAGTAACATTTTGAAAGGAATTTTTTTCTGAGCAGTTCTCAACAATGAGCTTAAAATAATCAGTTAACCATGCTTTAAACGAATGTGCTGTAATGCAGGCTTTATTTCTAGAGCACAAACAGAGTATATTTATTATAATTCTTTTTCCCCCCCACTGAGATGGAGTCTTGCTCGTCACCCAGGCTTGAGTGCAGTGGCACAATATCGGCTCACTGCAACCTCTGCTTCCTGGATTCAAGCAATCCTCCTGCCCCAGCCTCCTGAGTAGCTGGGATTACAGGCATGTGCCACCACGCCCAGCTAATTTTTGTATTTTTAGTAGAGATGGGGTTTCACCATGTTGGCCAGGCTGGTCTTGAACTCCTGACCTTGCGATCTGCCCACCTGAGCCTCCCAAAGGGCTGGGATTACAGGTGTGAGCCACTGCGCTCAGCAGATTTAGTATAATTCTTAAGGACCTTAGGATTTTTTGAATGCTAAAGGAGCATCAGCCTCAACTTCAAGTAACCAGCTGCATTTGCCCTTACAAGAGACTCAGCCTGTGCTTTGAAGCCCAGCATTGACTTCTCCTCTGTAACTATGAAAGTCCCAGATGGCATCTCCTCCAACAGAAGGATGTTTCCTCACCATTTAAAATCTGTTGTTTCATGTACACCTTCATCTATAATTTTAGCTAGATCTTCTGGGTAACTTGCTGCAGCTTCTACAGGAGCACTTGCTGTTTCAGAGTGCACTTTTCAGTTATGGAGATGGCTTCTTTTATAAAATCTCACAAACTCATCTCTGCTAGGTTCCAATTCTTCTGCAGCTTCTTCACCTCTCTCAGTCTTTACAGAATTGGACAGATTTAGGTCCTTTCTCTGGATTAGGCTTTGGCTTAAGGGAATGTTGTGGCTGGTTTGATCTTCTATACAGACCACTCAAACTTTCTCCATATTAGCAACAAGGCTGTTCACTTTGTTATCATTTGTGTGTTCGCTGGAGTAGCACTTTTAATTTTCTTCAATAACTTTTCCTTTGTATTAACAACTTGGCTGTTTGGCACAAGAGGCCAAGCTGCGGCCTGTCTCAGCTTTTGACATACCCTCCTCACTAAGCTTAATCATTTTTAGCTTTTGACTTAAAGTGAGTGACATGTGACTTTTCCTTCCACTTAAACACTTAGAGGCCATTGTGGAGTCGTTAATTGGCCTGACTTCAATATTCTTTTCTCAGGGAATAGGGAGGCCCAAGGAGAAGGGAGAGAGAGAGGTTGGGGAAAGGCCAACCTATAGAGCAGTTAGAACACACAGTTTGTTGTCTCCTATAGTCACAGTTTGTAGTGTCCCAAAAGAATTATTAACATTAAAGATCACTGATCACAGGTCACCATAACAGATATCATTTAAAAGTTTAAAATGTTGTGAGAATTACCAAAATATGACACAGAGACACAAAGTGAGCACATGCTGGTGGAAAAACTGGCACCAGTAAAGTTGTTCAAAGCAAGGTTGTCACAGAACTTCAGTTTGTAAAAAATGCCATATCCATAAAGCCCAATGAAACAAAGGATAAAGCAAATGCTATATCCTAGTCCAAGTAGCTCCAATGAAAGCCTAAGTCCCTCATTAAACAAAATGGAAAACTAGCTTAAAATACATATTTTTGAATATTAAATCAACCAAAAGCAATATATTGTGGGTTAATTTGTGTCTACCACTGGAGGAGAAGCGTCATTGCAAGATTTAACAAGTATTTTAAATTTCTCAATGCAGAAGCCATTAAGAAAAATAGGACAACACATCAGATTCACAAAATGGCATGAGAGAGAACACAAGAAGGCTACACTTTGATATGTTTCTGTCATTCAGAATAAAGTCTTGGGGGCATAGTATAGAAGATTCATTAGAGAGCTTGAAGTTGAGCTAGCCCAATCCCCTCAGGTAACAGGTGAGGAAACTGAACCTTAGAAGTGTTAAATTGTGCATGTAGAGTTCCACAGTTGAGTGGTCAGGCAACTTGGTTCTAGTCTCAATTCTGCCTCCAATACGATATAAGCACCTTAAGAATATAAAGATGACAGGAAGGTAAGGTGGAATAGTCTAGGAAAACTTACATAATTCTTTACTGATTTTATTCACTGTTTCTCTTCAAGATAGGTGGGAGGATATTTGTCTTTTTAACTTTGGAAATTCTACTGCCCAGAATATTAAAGCACTAGAAAAAATTGAGAGCTGAAAACCAAAGAAGGCTCATCCCTATTCATCAGATGTAAATGCAATGATTTGACTATCACTATCATTAACTGGTTAATAACTATTTATGACCCCAGGATGTAGTTTCTACCCAGTTAATGGGCTCCATAGTAAAGCTATGATTTTATCTTAGCTGCTATGACTGTTGGTTTCAGTTGCTTGCATTAAGGGATGAGCAGGTTCTGCTGATTATCCACATAATAAGAGATCATGTCCAAGGGCCTTCAAAAAAAAAAAAAAAACCTCTCATCAAACAAAATAGGAATTGTGCCTGAGAAGGAAGCCTTGCAGAAATAACATGTTGATTGCCCCCAAATAACCCTCACAAATCACACTTAAGGGAACTCGATCATACATTTTCTCAGCCACATTTTAAAGCAATTGTGAATCACTAAGTGCTGGGGGATTGTATCTGCTGACACTTCGCAACTAAGATTTTCCCAAGCTGTTTTCACTTAGCCTTTCAGCTAGTACCCACCCCTTGTAGGCACAGCTTTGTGAAAAATACAGAGTCAAGTGTGGCTGAGCTGGGCTGTAAGTGCAGGGGCTATTTCTGAATGCTTGGCCAGATGGGCTCCCAAGGAAGAATAGGTCCTGACAATCCCTACATCTGGTATCTTGACCATCCTCCAAGCCAAGCTCCACTTCTTCCTCCTCCTATTTTTTTTTCTTCCCTTTAAAAATTGCTTTCCTTTAAACATTGTATTCCTTTATTCAATCTGTATTTAATGAGCATACATGATGTGCCAGGACTAAGAAAGATGTGAAGAAAGCTTAAGATATGTTTCTTGTTCATTCTGACCTTGCAATTTAGTTTACAAGATGAAATATATACAAAAGCATTTTTCTAGATTTTACCTGATACCTACTATTTCTACTATATCACTCCTCCTGAAATTACCACTTTTGCCTGGACTATTGGAATGGCAATAACCCCAGCTGACATCCCCTTCTCCATTTTTGTTAAAAGGTCAGTCAGATCATTTTAGTTCTTTTTCAGAAAGGCTCTAGTGGGTTTGTATCTCATTCAGAGTAAAAGCCAAAGCCCTCCCATGACCTACAGGCTGTCTGTGACCTGGCTCTGTTTTTTTGCTTGACATTATTTTCTGCTACCTGTCATCTTACCTCACTCTGATCTGGCCCCACTATCCCTTTGCTGTTCTTCAAACACAATAATGGCTAAAGCATGTTAAGGCTTTTGCCCTTGCAGTTCCCCTATGTGGAGACATTTTTCCCTAGCATACACGTGGTGTTCATCCTCATTTTATTTAGGCTTCTTGTCAAATGTGAATTTGCTCTAAACCACACTCATCACTCTTTTCTCACCCAGCCTCATTTTTCTTCTCAGCACTTAAAAGCACTTAATGGGTTAATGTATCTGTTTCCCCAAACTATGTAAAGAGACATTGCTTAGTTCCCCAGTATATCCCTAAAACCTGGAACTGTGACTGGCACATAGTAGACTGTTATTACATTGGTCAAACTGGAAAACTTAAATGCTTCAATGACAAGAGACAAATGAAGGAGTGAATAAATGGAGTGTCCAGATGAGCTTCCCACTGTCTAGTAAATGAAATCCTGTCTCTTTACCTTGGCCTTCAGATATTTTTCCATTAGGGATACTTTCAGATTCAACCAACAAAATGCTTTATGAGCAGAAGTTTAAGCAATAAAGATACTCAATAAGGTCATACAACAAGATGCTGAGAGGTAAGCAATCTTGACCCAGCAGGTGCAAAGATGTATCAAAGACAGAACATCTTTCTATGTTTACTCTCACTACCCTTAGTATGTTCCCTTATAGCTTTATGGCCATAAGACCGTGGCTGTACAACCAGGCAGCATGAAAATATTCAAGGCATAGAAAGTGAAAATGGTAACAAAAGTGACATTTAACCCGTTTTTCAGGAAAACAAGAAGTTTCCCAGATGGCTTTTCCTAAGACATTTTCTATTATAACTGTGCAATTTATTCATCCCTCAAGGAGAAAGTAGTTTTTCATTTTTCCAGCCTCTAGGAAGAAGTTGGGCAAAGAAATGGGTTGTAAATGTGATTTTGTGTAGTCAACCTCCACTGTCTGTCACCTAATGCCTTCTATGATATGACCCCCCGACCTGATTTCCCACCATTCCACTATACACAGTCCTTGTTCCAGCCCAACTCTTTACTGTTCCCCAGATACTTCTCTTCTTTTTAAAAGGGTTTAAAAACTATTTTAACAGAAAAGTTGAGAATATAGTACATGGAAGTCCCATATCCCACCTTATTATTATCATCTTCTATGAACATGGTATTTTTTATTTACAACGAATGAACTAATATTGATACATTATTATTAAAGTCCATACTTTATCCAGATTTCTTCAGTTTTTACCTAATGGCCTTTTTCTTTGTTAAAATATATTTAATTGATTTGTAACAATTATACATATGTTGGGGTACATACGTAGTGGTACATGCATACAATTTGTAATAATCAAATCAGGATAATTAAGATATCCATCACCACAAATATTTCTCATCCTATTGTGTTAGAAACATTACAGTTCTTCTCTTCTAGCTATTTTGAAATATACAATAAATTACTGTTAACTATAATTTCCCTACTGCGCTATCCAATGTTAGAACTTAGTCCTTCTATCTAACTGTATTTTTGTTCCCTTTTGACCAGCTTCTGTTCATCTCCTGACCCTCTCCCCTTTCCAGCCTCTGGTAACCACCATTCTACTCTCCACCTCTATACATTATACATCTTTAGCTTCCTCTTATAAGTGTGAACATGCAATATTTGCCTTTCTTTGCCTGGCTTATTTCACTGAATATAATGTCCTCCAGTTCCATCCATGTTGCTGCAAATGACATGATTTTATTCTTTTTATGGCTGAATAGTATTTCATTGTGTGTGTATATCATTGTGTGTATATGTGTGTATATATATTACATATTCATATATTATATATATTTTTATATATTATATATGTATTATATATACATATATATGTAATATATAACACATATATAATATATAGATGTAATATATATAACACATATATAATATATAGATGTAATATATATAACACATATATAATATATATTATATATTATATATATTATAAATGTATATATGTATATTATATATACATATATACATATATACACGTATATATGTATATATGTGTATATATATTATATACATATATATTATATTATATATAATATATTACATGTTATATATAATATATTACATGTTATATATAATATATAATATGTTATATGTTATATATAATATGTTATATGTTATATATAATATGTTATATGTTATATATAATATAATATATAATATATATTATATATAATATATATTATATATATTATATATTATATATTATATATTATATTATATATATTATATATTATATATTATATATTATATTATATATATTATATATTATATTATATATTATATATTATATTATATATATTATATATTATATTATATATATTATATATTGTATATGTATATTATATATATTATATATTATATATGTATATTATATATATTATATATTATATATGTATATTATATATTATATATATTATATATTATATATGTATATTATATATTATATATATTATATATTATATGTATATTATATATGTATATATACATATATGTATATAATATATGTATATTATATGTATATAATATATGTATATTATATGTATATAATATATATGTATATATGTATATAACATATATACACATACATATATACATAATATATATACATAATATATATGTATATATACATATATACTATGTATATATGTATATTATATACATATATATGTATATATGTATATTATATACATATATATGTATATATGTATATTATATACATATATATGTATATATGTATATTATATACATATATATGTATATATGTATATATGTATATATGTATATTATATACATATATACGTACGTATATATGTATATATACATATATACGTATATATGTATATATGTATATTATAAATGTATATATTATATATTATATTTATATATATTATATATAAATATATATTTATATGTATTTTATATATTTATTATATATTTTAATATATTATAAATATATTTTATATATTTATAATATATAAAAATATACTATATATATTTATATATCAATAAATATACATTTATAATATATATAATATATATTATACATATATATGTATATATTATACATATATATGTATATATTATACATATATATGTATATATTATACATATATATGTATAATATATTATATATATGTATAATATATTATACATATATACGTAAATACATATACATATATACGTATATACATATACATATACATGTGTATATGTATACATATATGCATATATGTATATGTACATGTATATGTATACATGTACATATACAATATAATATACGTATATAATATATGTGTTATATATATTATACATATATAATATATATAATATATTATATACGTATATATGTGTTATATATAATACATATATTTTATATATATGTATTATATATTACATATTCACCTAAGTGAATTCTATGGTGAATTCTATGTCTTGGCCATTGTGAATGGTGCTGCAATACGCATGGGAGTGTAGATATCTCTTCTCTATACTGATATCCTTTCTCTTGGATATCTGCCTAGCAGTAGGATTGCTGAATCTTACGGTAGTTCTATTGTTAGGATCCCATCCAGAATACCACATTTAGGTGTTATGCCTCCTGAGGCTCCTCGTCACTGTGACAGTTTCTCAGACTTTCTTTTTTTGAGACGGAGTTTTGCTCTTGTCACCCAGGCTGGAGTGCAATGGCGCGATCTTGGCTCACTGCAACCTCTGCCTCCCAGGTTCAAGCGATTCTCCTGCTTCAGCCTCCCAAGTAACTGGGATTACAGGTGCCTGCTACCATGCCCAGCTAATTTTTGTATTTTTAGTAGAGACGGGGGTTTCACCATGTTGTCCAGGCTGGTCTCGAACTCCTGACCTCAGGAGTGATCTGCCCACCTTGCCCTCCCAAAGTGCTGGGATTACAGGCGTGATCCACAGCTCCTGGTCCAGACTTTCTTCATTTGTGATGACTTTGACAGTTTTGAAGAATACCAGTCAGGTTTCATAGAATGCCCCCTACTGAAATTTGGTTGGTATTTTTCTCATAGTTTTACTGGGGTGATGGGATTTTCTGGGAAGAGGACCACAGAGATAAAGTGCCATTTGCATCATATCATATTAGTATATACTATCAACATGAAGTGTTGGTTAGATTTCTGTACTATACAGTTATGCTTTTTCACACTTTCCCTACTGTGTTCCTTGGAAGGAAGGTCACTATAGTCCATGCTTAAGGAGTAGGAAGTTTTGCTCCCACCCCTTGAGGATGGAATATCTACATAGGCTATTTGGAATTCTTCTGCATGGGGGATTTGTTTCTTCTCCCTCAAATCTTTATTCAGCCATTTATTTATGTAAGTATGAACTCATTAATTTTTATTTTATACTTTGGATCATAATCCAGTACTGTATGAATCTCCTGGTTTGTTTAACCATTCACCTATTGAAGGACATCTTGGTTGCTTCCATTTATTGACAATTATGAAGAAAGCTGTCCTAAACATCCGTGTGTAGGCATTTGTGTGGGCATAAGTTTTCAAGACAGTTGGAAAAACCTCAGCATTGTGACTATATTTGGCTTTGGAAGAAAATGACAAACTGTTTTCTCAAGTGACTGTACCATTCTGCATTCCCACTAGCAAGGAATAAGAGTTCCTGTTGTCCTGAATCCTTGCCAGCACTTGGTATTGTTATCTTTTACAGTATTACCCATTCTAATAGATATACAGTGGTATATCATTGCCATTTTAATATCTTCAAATTTTTATGCTCTTCCTCAGGATATGAAAATTCTGCCTTATTTTTATATGTTTACACCCTTAAAAGCCAATTTCAATGTCATTTACTCCATAAAGTATCTCTCCAACATTTCCCTTCCTAACAAGATGAACTTCTACCTTCACTAAATTTAACATTCAACATTACCTTGATATTTGAAAGTGACTATGAGATCTTCAAGAACCATGTTATCATTTTCCGCATAAAATTCAACATTCTAAAATGAGATACCATCTCACACCAGTTAGAATGGCAATCATTAAAAAGTCAGGAAACAACAGGTGCTGGAGAGGATGTGGAGAAATAGGAACACTTTTACACTGTTGGTGAGACTGTAAACTAGTTCAACCATTGTGGGAAGTCAGTGTGGCGATTCCTCAGGGATCTGGAACTAGAAATACCATTTGACCCAGCCATCCCATTACTGGGTATATACCCAAAGGACTATAAATCATGCTGCTATAAAGACACATGCACACATATGTTTATTGCGGCATTATTCACAATAGCAAAGACTTGGAACCAACCCAAATGTCCAACAATGATAGACTGGATTAAGAAAATGTGGCACATATACGCCATGGAATACTATGCAGCCATAAAAAATGATGAGTTCATGTCCTTTGTAGGGACATGGATGAAATTGGAAACCATCATTCTCAGTAAACCATCGCAAGAACAAAAAACCAAACACCGCCTATTCTCACTCATAGGTGGGAATTGAACAATGAGAACACATGGACACAGGAAGGGGAATATCACACTCTGGGGACTGTTGTGGGGTGGGGGGAGGGATAGCATTGGGAGATATACCTAATGCTAGATGACGAGTTAGGGGGTGCAGCGCACCAGCATGGCACATGTATACATACGTAACTAACCTGCACATTGTGCACATGTACCCTAAAACTTAAAGTATAATTATAATAAATTAAAAATAAAAATAAAAATAAAAAAATAAAAAAAAATGTGTCAACACTTTAGATGCTTACTGATAACTACCATGTAGATGGCAGTGAATAGGAAGCAATAAGGACACCTTGAAGCAGAGGTATTGGGAAGGCAACTTAGTTCATTTACCAATGCTGCAATTCATTGCACGTACTAGTCTTACCCTACAGGGGATTCAATCATCTCCTCAAGTTCTATACTGCCATGGGCCACTGCAGGAACTTTTGAATTGTTGAAATTATGAATATTAAATCCATGAATGCAAAGAGTCTGCAGAACATTACCCAGGGCATACTTTTTTTTTTTCATCATAGTGATTTTTGCTCATGTCTTATTTCATTTTTAGACTGTAGAGACTTGAGGATAGAATATTTCTCTAATTTTATATTCAGTAAATATTTACAAATAAATATAAGTAGTACGATAGAGTTTTAAAAGGAAAGAAATATTCTTTCTTACAACAGAATTAGCTGGACTTTAACTGATTCCTTGAGATTTTAAAAAAGCCTCTGAAAGATAGTAACATAACACTAAAATAGACCATAAATTTAGTCATCTTATAGAGAAAGCAGCCCCTGTATTAATATCAAAGCCCTTGGGAGAGACATGTGTTTCCTTTGTTCCCATAAAGGCCATGGCTAGGGAGTGAGTGATGGTGCTGAAGTGATCAGCTTGCTCATTGCCATGGCAATGTAGCCACTCCTGCTGCGGTCAGCAAGTTCCCAGCTCTGCCTCTGCAGATTGAAGCCACCCACCTGATTTTTCTCTGTTTTTCCTACCTGACATGGTGCCTTTTATTGAACACAAGTCAAGGTTGGGAAATTTTGTCTCTGCCAGTGGGCTCATCAGGTGCCAGAGTACAGGTAAGCATAAAAGGATGGCTGGGGAAAGAGAAGCTGATAACCTCAGAGAATTGCTGTAGGTTATCTCTGACACTCAGCTAGGGATCCTCTGTCTCTTTTTTTACAAAGAGCAAAAGCAGTTTCAAGGAGACACTTCTCATGAAAATCCTCCTCAGCCCTAAATACGTGGTTCTATGTTCTGAGTGTTTCCAGAAGACAAATCCAGAACACAGGTGACTCCACAGACCTAAGACAGTAAAGAAGGGTCTTAAGTCAGCAAAGTCAGTGTCCCTGCAGATTCCTAAAGTTTTGCCACATTCAGGGCTGATCTTGGTGAAGGAAAGGGGAATAAGCCTCTGGAGGCATTTGAGGGAGTTGTAAGTCATCCCCTAGTTATCAAAGAGAAAGCATTTCTTTTCCTATTCAATAGTATTTTTGAGCATCTACTCTATGGCAGCCCTGGAGATACAACATAAATTAAGACAGATGTGTCTTGTCCCTCACAAATTAAGTAGATCTTCAAATTCTAATTGTTAACTACTCCCTTGGGTTACATAATTTATAAGTCATCTATAATTCATACATTTCTCGACATTAACACTATTATCAGTAATTCTAATGACAAAATCTCTATATATTTAGAGTACTTTATGACTGTCACAAAATTCAGGATTTCCTAAATCAACCCTGGGAAATTTTCATCTCCATTTTGTAGTTGAGAAGACTGAGGCTCAGAGAGTGCCTGACTTGCCCAAGTCCAAACAGTAGGCTTTCAAGATGTGGTCTGAAAACTACTAGCATTAGAATTTCCTGGGGAAGTAGTTTTTGAAAATGGACTTTTAGCAGCCGCCTCGCTTTCCACTGGATCAAGTCTATGGAGGTGGACTCAGGAAACTTCATTTTTCAGTGGTTCTAACTGTCCACTCACTAACTACTGCCGTATACCTTAGTTCATTCGGGATTTTAACTCAGATCTTCTGAGCCTTTTACACTTTCCACCCTATCATGGTGACAGCATGACCTGGGAGAAATGCTGTCTCTTGGTAACCTGAAGCATATTTGAGACTTAGTGTATCTTTCTCAGTACTTTCCTAGCTAAATGCTTCCTTGGAAAGGAAGCCTTCAGAATGCTGATTCAGGTTTTTTTTTTTTTTTTTTTTTTTTTTTTTAAAACATCAACCATCCTTCACCCATAAAGGCTGACCCCTTAAAGCACAGCACTGCTGTGAAGTGCTCGGATCACCATGAGCCTCTTGTTTTTTTGTTGGTGGCAGCATTTTGTCCCTGGAGTTTTCTGTTTTGACAGTTCATCAGAGCCCTGGAAGGTGGCAGGAACCTCACTATTCAATTAAACCTTAAGTGTCACCAGGGCATGCAGAGGAGAAGGAGGAACCTACGTAGAGGCAGATGAAATAAACGAGGTTTAGCAAGCTGAGTAGCCATTTTTCAAAAGTCAAGAGCTTCCCAAGATTTCAAACATAGTACCTAGATGCAGTGGGATACACTCTATTCTCAAGGCTCGGTTTGCTTGGCTTACATGTACAGATGGTCTCCAACTTAAGATGTTTTGTCTTACGATTTTTTGACTTTAGGGATTCGTTGGAATATTAAATGCATTTTTGACTTATGATATTTTCCACTTATGATGGGTTTATCAGGATGTAGCCCCATCATAAGTTGAGGAGCATCTGTATTGTTCTTTATAAATTATTAAGTATTCCACAAAATAATGATCAATTTAACAAATATTAAATACCTATTATGCTATGGGCATAAAGATTATAACTGCAATGCTACCCTAGTAATAAAGCACTGAGCAGGTACTACAGACTTTTAAAAAGTAATTTAAAGAGCAATGTGCATTTCCATGGAGACATTAAGAAGGGTATTCTGACACCATGTAGCAAGGTAAGTTAACATCACTCAGAGCTTCTCAAAGTGCAGTCTGAGAGCTACCTGGTCAGAAACCCCAAAGGATATTTGTTGGTAAAAATGCACAATGACTGGATCTACCCATAGACACTCTGGGGATGGGACTTAGGAAACTATTTTTTAAACAAACAGAAAGAACTCCTTAGGTCATTCTTTTGCACACACAAGCTGAGAATCACTGAGTAGGGAGTATTGGAAGACGCCAGGAAGTTGTCAAGGAAGACCTTTGTGAAGAAATGGTATGGGTGCAAAATGAAGTTTGAAGATTAAGGTTTAAACTAATGGGATTTGGGCAAAAGCTTCCCAGAAGGAAGTGACAGCATTCATGAAGATGCAACATGATTGGAAAGGAGGCAAAAAGTCCTCTGTGGCTGGAGAATAAGGAGAAATATGGAAAGAGGCAGAGATAAGGCCAAGAATCCAGATGCAGGGCTATGTCAGTATTGCAAAGGATTGGATTTTATTTTAACCCCCTGAAGGGTTTTAGGTGAAGATGGAGCATAGGTAAATTCCTATTTTAAAACAAAAAGCATGAAGAGCTTTTGGGATCTCCAGAGAGGATATTGGGGTACGAGGAGGAGGTTGTGGCAATAATTTGATGAGAAATAATGCTACCTTGGATTAGATCAGAGGCCATGAGAATGGAGAGAAATGATTGGATTTAAGAAGTATCAAGGAGGTAAAAATCAAGGTAATTCAGGGTTCCTGTAGATACAAATTGCCACCATGAGCATGTAGACTCTCTCTTGAACTTTAAGTACAGCAGTGGAGAGGATCTGTTGCTGCAGTGATGAGAACATGTTCTTTTCAAGGGACCTCCTGCCAACTCTCTCCCTTGTGGCCAAGGACATGCTTTGGTTTGGATAAGAAAATGCTGACTGGGGTAAAATTCTCAGTTCAAGGGGTCAGAAGACCTTCAGTTTGTTTCAGGTTCTGGCTTTAATCTCTTAGGCCCTGGCAGGATGGCTAACAGCAGGCTGATTCACTGTTACATGACAGCGGATGAGTACACTTGAGAAAGCTATGATCCCTGCCCTCATAGGACTCACTCTTTGAAATATGGGTATGTGAATGTGATACATACAAGGGAAAAAGTAGAAGAACGCAGTGACTATTTAGATATTAACAGTGAAGGTAAGGAGAAAAGTCTAGAAGGATTCACATGAACTAGTTTGGATACCTGGATGTTGGGAGCAGGCCCCCCCAAAACTGGCCATAAACGAAATCTCTGCAGCACTGTAACATGTTCATAATGGCCCTAACGCCCACGCTGGAAGGTTGTGGGTTTACAGGAATGAGGGCAAGGAATACCTGGCCTGCCCAGGGCAGAAAACCGCTTAAAGGTATTCTTAAGCCACAAACAATAGCATGAGTGATCTGTGCCTTAAGGACATGCTCCTGCTGCAGTTAACTAGCCCAACCTATTCCTTTAATTTGGCCCATCCCTTGGTTTCCCATAAGGGATACATTTAGTTAATTTAATATCTATAGAAGAATGCTAATGACTCGTTTGCTGTTAATAAATATGTGGGTAAATCTGTGTTCAGGGCTCTCAGCTCTGAAGGCTGTGAGACCCCTGATTTCCCACTTCACACCTCTATATTTCTCTGTGTGTGTCTTTAATTCCTCTAGTGCCGCTGGGTTAGGGTCTCCCTGACTGAGCTGGTCTTGGCACCTGGATGTGTGGGGTTACTATTAACTTAGGTAAAGAAATCTACAGAAGAAAATGAGGCCTTACAAATAAGGCAAGTTCAATTTGGGGCATCTAAACTACAATGCAAGACATGCAAATGAGAATGTTTAGTGGGTGATGGGCTACAGAATTTCACGATTTTGAAAAGAGGTCTAAGTCAGAGGCATCGCATGTCATTTCGAAAACTACCTTAAAACTTTTAAACAAATGAATGGCATATGAATAAATAAAATTCAACTAACAAAAGCTGTTGTTTATAGCAAAGTGCCAGTCTCATTTCTAAGTGCTTTGATTTATTTAATCTTCATGCCAATTCTATGGACTAGATACTCCTATGATTCCCATTTCAAAGATGAGGCACAGAAAGTTTGAGCATCTCATCCAAGGTTACACAGGCAGCAAATAGTAGGGATAATAGCATTGCAACCCTTACAGTCTGGATCTATTGCCTTTGCTTTCAAAATGAGTTTCTTCTGCCTGTCACAAACACAGTCAATGCCATAGCTGTCAGGACATCCTCCATCAGATTTCCCCTCTCCCTCACTCTAGAGCTTCTAAATGTCTTGACCAGAGATCTTGCTTTATTGGTCTTTTATTTATTATTTAATAAGTAAAGACACTGAGGGACTGAGGGGTAAAATTACTTCCATATAGTCACATTGTTGGGGAGTGGGTGAGCTGGTATTTGAACTCTGCTATTTCCTGGACTTATAAATTTAACTTCTACATATACTCATTACACAAAACCATAATTTTTAGTGCAACTTTTTGATTACTACCAGGGTAAAAAGGAAGAATGGCCATTGGTCTGGGAATTAGGTAAAGTGAATTACAGTCTAGGAAATTTTTATTTTTTTAAGTTCTGGGATACAAGTGCAGAATGTGTAGGTTTGTTACATAGGTATACAGTATTATGGTGGCTTGCTGCACTTATCAACCCATCATCTAGGTTTTAAGCCCCACATGCATTAGCTATTTGTCCTAATGCTCTCCCTCATCTCATTCCCCACTCCCTGACTGGCCCCTGTGTGTGTTGTTCCCCTCCCTGTGTCCATGTGTTCTCATCGTTCAACTCCCATTTATGAGTGAGAACATGCAGTGTTTGGTTTTTGTTCCTGTGTTAGTTTGCTGAGGATTATGGCTTCCAGCTTCATCCATGTGCCTGCAAAGGACATGATCTCATTCTTCTTTATGGCTGCATAGTATTCCATGGTGTATATATACCATATTTTCTTTATTTAGTCTATCAATCAGTGATGGGCATTTGGGTTGGTTCCATGTCTTGGCCACTGTAATTAGTGCTGCAATAAACATACATGTTCATGTATCTTTACAGTAGAATGATTTATATTCCTTTGGGTTTATATCCAGTAATGTGATTGCTGGGTCAAATGGTATTTCTAGTTAGAGATCCTTGAGGAATCACCACACTGTCTTCCACAGTGTTTGAACTAATTTACATTCCTACCAACAGTGTAAAAGTGTTTGTTTCTCCACAGCCTCATTAGCATCTATTGTTTCTTGACTTTTTAATAATCATCATTTTAACTGCTGTGAGATAGCATCTCACTGTGGTTTTGATTTGCATTTCTCTAATGATCAGTGATGTTGAGCTTTTTTTTTTTTTTTGTATGTTTGTTGGCCGCATAAATGTCTTCTTTTGAGAAGTGTCTTTGACCACTTTTTTGATGGGGTTGCTTGATTCTTGTAAATTTGTTTAAGTTCCTCATAGATTTTCCCACTTTTTGATGGGGTTGCTTGATTCTTGTAAATTTGTTTAAGTTCCTCATAGATTCTGGATATTAGACCTTTGTCAGATGGATAGATTGCACCCATTCTGTGGGTTGGCTTTTCACTCCGATGATAGTTTCTTTTGCTGTGCAGAAGCTCTTTAATTAGATCCCATTTATCAATTTTGGCTTTTGTTGCAATTGCTTTTGGCATTTTCATCATGAAGTCTTTGCCCATCCCTATGTCCTGAGTGGTACTGCACCTGGATTTTCTTGCAGGGCTTTTATGGTTTTGGGTTTTACATTCAAGTCTTTAATCTATCTTGAGTTAATTTTTGTATAAGGTGTAAGGGTAAGGAAGGGGTCCAGTTTCAGTTTTCTGCATATGGCTAGCCAGTTTTCCCAGCACCATTTATTAAATATGGAATCCTTTCCCCATTGCATGTATTTTTGTTTTTCCAGGTTTTTTGAAGATCAGATGGTTGTAGATGTGTTGTGTTATTTTTGAGGCCTCTGTTCTGTTCCATTGGCCTATATGTCTGTTTTGCTACCAGTAGTTTGGTACCAGTAGCTGTTTTGGCCACTGTAGTCTTGTAGTAAAGTTTGAAGTCAGGTAGTTTGATGCCTCCAGCTTTGTTCTTTTTGCTTAGGATTATCTTGGCTATATGGGCTCTTTTTGGTCCCATGTGAAATTTAAAGTAGTTTTTTTCTAACTCTGTGAAGAATGTCAATGGTAGTTTGATGGGAATAGCATTGAATCTATAAATTACTTTGGGCAGTATGGCCATTTTTATGATATTGATTCTTCTTATCCATGAGCATGGAATGTTTTTCCATTTGTTTGTGTCATCTCTTATTTCTTTGAGCAGTGGTTTGTAGTTCTTGAGGAGGTCCTTAGTCTAGGAATTTTGATTAAATATGTGATGTTAGATATATAACATTTGGTCCTTCTTAAGTAAAAGCTTAAAGATAAGATTAAGACTTAGATTAGACAGCCTATCAAGCTTTAGGACTTTTATGATTTTTAAATAAATTATTATAGAAAGAGGAAAAACATTGGGCCACTACAGAAAGCATCAGAACTAGCTTTAAAATACCACATTATTGTTGTTAAGTAGAGACTTCTTTAAATGTAATATCCCACTTGACCCTCCCCACCAGCGTATGAGGTGGTATTATTATTAATCATCCCTGCCCCCATCTTTTTACAGAAAAGGGAGCTTACCCTTAAGTAAATAAGCTTCTCAAGGACACACACAGGTAGTGAAGGACAGAGACATTTCAAATCCAGGTTTATCTAATGCCCAACTCTTAAACAATATGTGTCATTTCTTGTTGATTTATTGTAGAAGTGATTCCATTAAAATTGGGGCTTGATCAAGACACAGTTGGCTCAGGTAAATTTACCCTAGCAAACTGTTTGCATAAGACCAGTGAGTGAGGTATGCCACAAAATGAAAGCACTTCTTCCTTAGTGAGAACAGGGTTATTCATGCCTCTTCATCTGCTCTAAGTTCTCCAGCTTGCTCCTGATTATGCTGAAAAACACTGCAGTAGGCTCTACTACATTGACTGTGTGTTATGGAGAAGTACAAAACTGACTGTTTCGACTGTGATTTGGGCCTTGGAATAAAAATAGGTGCTAGGAAACATGTAATAGTGTGTTGGATAGAGAGTTAAGTTTACACAAATATACCTCTTCATATGGACTCACAGCAAGGTCTTCTGCCTGCTTCTTCACTAGATTTATTTTTAGTTTTGGCATTTTGAATTCTTACATTTAAAAATGATCTTACATATTCTCTGGATTTTAGCATATGTCTGGGAGAATCTTTAGTTGAACAATAAACAGAATGAACAAATGAAAGGTTGGGAAAAGAGAAAACAAGGCAGGACTGGTACTATGGATGAAATAAGTGATAGTATAATTTCTGGTTGCTTGAAGGCTTTTCTTCCCCTGATTGTATAGCTTTAATTGCCTCAATTAGTGAGTCATTTGGTCCTTGGGGTACTTCCTCTTTGAAAATGAAAATGACTATTAAAGTCCAGAAATGGCCATTCATGACTTAGTATCAATTAGTTTATGCAATTTGCTTCCTAATTTTTAGACTACTTCCTGAATTAGAAGAGCCTAAAAAATCACCTCATATAATCTCTCACATCAGTGAAGTCACTGAGGGCTAGGAGAGCACAGTAGTTTGATAAAAAATTCACAGGTTTTTTTATAATCAGCCTTATAACCCAAGCAGGAAGACTATCAGTGCACTGCTCTTTTCATCAATATTGTGCTGACGCAGATGTGAAAGTACATGAAAGTTGTGTTATCAAATGGTGTTATTGGCACAACATAATCTATAGTTAAGAGTGACATGGAGACAATACTTTTCAAAAATATTTAACAACATCAAACTACCGATTGAAGAGCTCAGAGAACACCAAACAGAATAAATACTGAAACAAACATACATACATGCCTGGACACATCATATTCAAATTGCTATAAGCTAAAGAGAAAATTTTGAAGGCAGACAGAAAAAAAGAGAACTTCTATAAAGAACAGCAAAAATAAGAAGCAGAATATACTTCTCATGAGAAACTATGCAAATCGGAAGACAAGGGAGTGACATCTTTAATGTGCTGAAATAAGGTGAAGTGAAATACAGCACCATTTGGATTGACAATCAATGTTCATTCAACAAAGAATGGTAGATTGGGGCCAGGCGCGGTGGCTCACACCTGTAATCCCAGCACTTTGGGAGGCCAAGGCGGGTGGATCACGAGGTCAAGAGATTGAGACCATCTTGGCTAACATGGTGAAACCCTGTCTCTAATAAAAATACAAAAATTAGCCAGGCGTGGTGGCAAGCACCTGTAATCCCAGCTATTCGGGAGGCTGAGGCAGGAGAATTGCTTGAACCTGGGAGGCGAAGGTTGCGGTGAGCCGAGATCATGCCACTGCACACCAGCCTGGCAACAGAGCGAGGCTACATTTCCAAAAACAAAACAACAACAACAACAACAACAACAACAACAAAAAAGAATGGTAGATCGATATTTGTCAGTTCTAGGATTATTAGGGGAATTTTTAGTGTTTTTAAGGAAGCACATTTAATATCTAACAAGTAAAATAGCAATATAAAATAGTAATTATAATCACCAACATATTTTGTATAGTTACTATGTAGTAGGAAAATGTTTTCAAATGTGCTCTCCCATATGGTTAAATGTTACCAACTATAAAATTTTAACCATTGTTAAAATTTAGCGGAGTGGTTCTTCTCTGATGAATAGAGAATCCAGAAAGTTTCCTGAAGATCATGGCAAAAAAATATATTTTTTGTTTGGGTCTTATTCCAGGAACTAGAGAGCAAGTATGGGCCTAAGTTAAAAAAATAATAATAAATAAAATAAACCTTCTCCATGTCCAGCAATGATATAGTTATATTGAAATGCAACATAGGTAAGCCTCAGTAATATGTATGGTTTCTTTCACTTCTTGTAGTCTTTGCTACTTTTTAACTTTACTCAAATTATTAAAAATAATCATTTAAAACACTTATGTATGTGTAGCCATGGTCACTAGGTGAGACAATCACTGTTTCTCATGATTTTCAAGGCCATATGTCTTAAGTGCATAAAAACCCAGACTTCAAATCTTCAGCTCTGTTTTACTGGGCTATTATAAGAACCGTTTCCCAGGGGTCATTGCCTTCCTCTTGACAATATAGTCTATCTTTATGAAGGCCAAACACGTGTCTTTTTAAAAACTAAGTGCTTACAATATTCCAGGAACTGCACTTACCACGTTATAAACATTTTCTCATCTAAGCATTATGCATTCCTATAAAGGCGACACTGGCTCTTCTATTTTAAGGATGAGGAAACTGAGGCTAAATGAATTTCTCAAAGGTATAGAGAGTCCACAGCATTATAACAAAGAATGTAAAAACCTGAGTCTGAAGCCTATGCACTTAACCAGAGCATTATATTGTTCTAAAACACTGACCTACCCAATACTGAACTCTATAGCAGTGTGTGGGGCACTAGTACTCACCCTATTTTCTTGAGATGGTAGCCCACAGCCAGAATCTAATGGCACTCATAGGACTGTAATCTAGTTTAAATAACGCAAGTTTATGTATTAAAACTCCTTTTGAGAGCCCTTAATCACTCAACAAATAGTTAATAAGTTTGCACCTGACATTACTTAGCTTTATGATATAGTAATTTTATTGCTAGTGCAGCTCAAGAGTTTCTAGCCATATATCCCAGTCGGTTTCATTTCATCTGTGTTTTTCAAATTGTAGTCCAGGTAACACATTTGTTAAAACCACCATGGCACTGAGCAAAACGGCAGACTCTAGGACCTGATCCAGACCTCCTAAATCAGATTTACTAGGGAGAAGGTAGAGGAATCTGCATTTCTAAGATGTTCCCTAGATAAATCTTGCCTATACTCAAGTTTGAGAACCACTGTAATAAACTATAATCATTAGAAGATAAACCATTTGGGGAAACTTTTGGAGTTGTTAAAAAAGGGGGAGTGGGAGGGGGAAGAGAAATGGTCTAGAACACTGACATTAAATCTTAGTAGTTTTTTGACCCACCAAATGCTTCTTAGAACATATTCTTTCTAAACTATTAAGATTTTCTTCCACATTATCATGAGGTTAACTTTTATTTTCTTCCAACTGAATGCCCTAAATTTCCCATCTTGTTTCTAGTAAAACTCCTATCTGAATGACCCATTTTTGAAATAAATCAGATTTGTTTTTATGCTTAAGAATTTCTAAGATTCTACAACTGGCTTTACATTATCATTTTTACAGCAGAGTTGCCACATGGTTCCAACTTAAAGCAGAAGAATAAAAATGCCTGCCATTCCCCTGCTCCCTATTCAAACACGTCTGTCTCAATTAACTTTTTACAGCCTGCTTTCTTTCTAGGTACTAACCTGAGAAGATTTACTGATCCCAACTAGCTACTGCTGACAATTTGGTTTTCTGTGTGAATGAGGAATTGCATCTCAGCAAGTAACTGGATTGTGTTTTGCAACAGAAAACATAAAATACTTAAGAAGCTAGGAAGCTGCATGTATCCAATATTTCTGTAATTAACAACATTCCGTGCTGTGAATTCTTAAGTTTTGAGAAGGCCACATTCCTTATGTTCCAGATAATAATGGCACATTGTAGAGCTTTCCAGGAAAGAGACCAGAAATAACCACTGAAATGCACAATTCTGAGCTTACTGGTCTCTCAGTGTATGTCATCTCTCAGATCCACAAAGCAACTTAGAATGCAACCAGCCCTTTCTATTTAAAGGTCACTTTACCCTGTAGGACATTCTAGCCATCTCTGGAATCATTATTGGTAATTTTGTAGAAGTACATAGTCATGTTGCCGTAAAAACTCTCTTCTATATATTAAAACCTAAACCTGAGATTGACACGGAAGACTACATCTCACTTTTGCTTCTCCACTTGCAATCATACCTACTATCCTTAGGACTGGAAATAGACTTATATCTAATAACAGTAGTTAGCTTTTTATTAATTTATTTTCATTTTTATATCATAAGAAATAAAATCAGAAAAACTTACTCCAGCTTTTTCCACCCAGAAAAATCACTTTCTCTTCTATATTTATTGAAACTTGAACAGTTTTTATCCCTAGTGGGTACACCTCTTGCTTCTTATTACCTGATTTTTAACAGATGTGGTATAACATTCAGCAAACAGAGTACTGTGTACTGAGCGATGTATCAGGCTGTTATGTTAAATAAAATGAGCATGGCTTTTGCCTTTAGGTACCTTAGAACATAGTGGGGCTAACAGAAATACAAATTTTCACAAAATTCTAAGTGTGTGAGTGTTAGAAAGCAGAGGTAGATGATAACACAGGGGCCTAAAGCAGAGAGATCTGACCAAATCAGAGAAGTCAGAGATGTCCTTGAAGAAGCAAAAGCAGAACCAAAGTCTGAAGGATGGAGCAGGCATTAAGGTGGCACACATTGGTGCAGAAGAGTGCTCCACATAGACAGCACAGCACAGAAAAGCCCTAGGCAGGAAAGATGCTCATAAGGTAAAGGTGGATAGGGTGGTTCACCCACAAAGAGACAGAGAGGGGGTTGATGCAAGATAGTAGGACAAATCTATTCAGGGCTTTCTTTTCTCTCTCTCTCTCTTTTTTAAATGAAAGATTTTTTTAATGGAAGAAATAATCACTTCTATTTATCTATCATTCAGCTTCAACAATTATTAACTTACAGTCAATCTTATTTTATGTATAACTTCTCTTGCACTTGTCCTCAACCTGGCTTATTTTGAAGCAAATCCAAGACATATATTTTTTTTCTTCTATAAATATGTCAGTTTTCATTCTCAAATATAAAGTCTCCTTTAAAAAATTTAACCACAAAACCATTTTCATACTTAGAATATAAACAATATTATTATTAAATCTAGTCAGTGTTCAGACTTTCCCAACTAATATGTATCAACAAATATATGTATATATGTGTGTATAGATGGATAATTTTTTATAATTTAAAAATTAAATAAGGTCCATGCACTGTAATTGGTTGATATATACCCTAAGTCTCATTCTCTCTATGGGTTCCTTCTACATTTTTGGGGTTTTTTTAAATTGATTTGTTGGAGAAGTAACATTTTGTCCTATAGAATTTCCCATGACCTGAAATGCGGATCGACTACCCGTGGTGTTATTTAATACATTCCTCTCTCTCCTGTATTTTTCTGTAAATAATTGGTGGATTAGGGGCTTGATCAGATTCTGCATTGACCATTTGGCAAGAATAACCTCATGGTGGTTCCCTGTAATTCAAGGCGTTGTCTTTCCTTGTGGTTCACAGCCATTGAAGATCATGGCTTAGACCATTATTTCCTCAGGATACACAATCATTCTGCATTCATTTATTAGCTGAAATACTCCTGTAAAGAAAAACTTTCCCCTTATTAACTATTTGGTCCCTGACATATAGTTTGTAAATGGAAGGAAGATATATGGTTGATTCTTTCCTTTAATTTACAAGTTGTCAGAATAATTATCAATGAGGGCTTTTGAAGTATCATTTTAAACACATAGATTTAAACATGTTTGCATTTCGATTCAATTAATAGTTAATACTCAAATTTTTTCACTTTTAGGCAATAGAAAGTACTTCAGGTAATAATCTGGGGTCACTTCCTTGCTTTCAGGTATGACAAAATATTTTGAGTTCATCATGTCCATTAACTATGCCAGATATTAATTTGGCTGTTTACCTAAGAAACTTTGGTTCCTTTATGGGAAATAGTTTGGAGATTACAATACAGGTAATAATAGTGCTGGGGGATCATTGTTTTTAGGACTTCTCATGGATAAAGCTTTATTTTAAAGATGTAATATTTGTGTTTATGCTTTCAATTCATATTTGAGATCACAGGGTTTTTATCTAACCTTTCAGTCTTCCATGTGTATCTCCTTTCTCCCACATTGAGAACACCGATTTTCATGGCACCGAACTAATCACTTTTTGCTGTAATCACCTAATGGACCAGAGAAAAGTCCCAAAGTGACCCCCAAAATTATAATTGCTTAAAACCATTTTAAGTCCTGTTGCAGCCTAGGTTGTCCATAGGGCATATACTCCTAGGGATATATGGTCAAATCACATTGTTTTTTGTCACTTGTTTAACTCCATTATTGTGTCTCTAATTTGATATACAGTTTCATCTTGCTTTAGATTTTAGTATTGCTTTTTATTTACTTCTGTTTCACTGTTATGTAAGTATGTGTATACAAAACACCCCAACCCATATAATGATTTCTATTTGATGATAATTTTTTAATAAAATATGTAAGCCAATACTCATTTATGTTTCAATGTCCCCCTTTTCACGGATAAATGGTAGCATACTTTATGTACTTTTCTTCACCTTGTCTTTTACACCTCATGTATCCCGGAAATCATGTTATAGTAGTTTAAAGAAATACACCACATTTTATCTTTTTTTTTATTATACTTTACTTTAAGTTTTAGGGTACATGTGCACATTGTGCAGGTTAGTTACATATGTATACATGTACCATGCTGGTGCGCTGCACCCACTAACTCATCATCTAGCATTAGGTATATCTCCCGATGCTATCCCTCCCCCCTCCTCCCACCCCACAACAGTCCCCAGAGTGTGATATTCCCCTTCCTGTGTTCATGTGATCTCATTGTTCAATTCCCACCTATGAGTGAGAATATGCGGTGTTTGGTTTTTTGTTCTTGCGATAGTTTACTGAGAATGATGATTTCCAATTTCATCCATGTCCCTACAAAGGACATGAACTCATCATTTTTTATGGCTGCATAGTATTCCATGGTGTATATGTGCCACGGGGATCTAATTAAACTAAAGAGCTTCTGCACAGCAAAAGAAACTACCATCAGAGTGAACAGGCAACCTACAAAATGGGAGAAAATTTTCACAACCTACTCATCTGACAAAGGGCTAATATCCAGAATCTACAATGAACTCAAACAAATTTACAAGAAAAAAACAAACAACCCCATCAAAAAGTGGGTGAAGGACATGAACAGACACTTCTCAAAAGAAGACATTTATGCAGCCAAAAAACACACGAAAAAATGCTCATCATCACTGGCCATCAGAGAAATGCAAATCAAAACCACAATGAGATACCATCTCACACCAGTTAGAATGGTGATCATTAAAAAGTCAGGAAACAACAGGTGCTGGAGAGGATGTGGAGAAATAGGAACACTTTTACACTGTTGGTGGGACTGTAAACTAGTTCAACCATTGTGGAAGTCAGTGTGGCGATTCCTCAGGGATCTAGAACTGGAAATACCATTTGACCCAGCCATCCCATTACTGGGTATATACCCAAAGGACTATAAATCATGCTGCTATAAAGACACATGCACACGTATGTTTACTGCGGCATTATTCACAATAGCAAAGACTTGGAACCAACCCAAATGTCCAAGAATGATAGACTGGATTAAGAAAATGTGGCACATATACACATTTTATCTTACAGCACCCCAAAGGGTAAATGTATTATAGTTTATTTTACCGTTCTCCACTTGATAGACACGTAGGTGGTTTCCTGTCTTTCCATTGCAAAGTTATTCATTTCATACTGTGTTACACATATGTTTTCATATTTTTTGCCAGATTCCTACCGGTGGATGCTGGGTAAAAATATACAAGTATGAGAAATTTTGGGCTGGACACAGTGGCTCACATCCCAGCATTTTGGGAGGCCAAGGTGGGAGGAATGCCTGAGCCCAGGCATTTGAGACCAGCCTGGACAACATAGCAAGACTCTGTCTTTATTAAATTATAATTTTTTAAAAAAGAAAGGTTTATACATATGGCCCATATACCCTCCCTAGGGTTTGTAACAGTTTGAATTCCTACTAACAGTATTCCTACTAACAGTATGTAAGAACAACTTTTTTTCACATAGCTACATCAATCAAGTATGTTGTCAAACCTTCAGATCTTTGTTCATCTGAAAGGTAAATAATGGTACCTTGACAGATTGAAGACAGCCAAGAGTGGAAAGGGTATACCAATCAAACGATATAGATATGGTACGATTGACAATTGGAATAAAGTTAAAGTCACAATATTCAGGAGGAAAAATGATAGGACTTGGTATAGAATCAAACTCAGAGACAGAAAGGAAGGGAGTACCAGAATAAATCTTTTCAAAAAGCCAAAATAGTCTGGGCAACATGGTAAAACCCCACCTCTACAAAACATACAAAATTTAGTTGGGAGTGGTGGCACACCTGTAATCCCAGCTACTCGAGAGGTTAAGCCTTCAGTGATCCAAGATTGCACCACTGCACTGCAGCCTGAGCAACAGAATGAGACCCTGTCTCAAAAAATATAATAATGACAATAAAATAAAAACATAGGAAATAAAATTTTTTTACTTGTAGTTTTCTCACCACCCTTTTAAGAAACAACTTCTAAATGCTTTCTTCTCTATGTGGAACACTATCTTTCTTTTAGTTGTAGAACAGTTTTGAGTGAAATGTTTGTAATATATGAAAATACATTTACTAAAGAAAATTGTGCTGAAATGATATAAATGGGTCAAGATGAACGTATGATATTTGAAATGATCTTAAGGTTTTGTCTGTATAAGGCAATTTTCTAGGTTTAAATTAAGTTTGGCCTAAAGCTGACTTTTTATATATTTTAAGTTCAGCCTAAAGATTTCTCCATACATGATAAACTGCAAGCCAACTTGATGTGTAAAGAGATTATAACCTACATGTCTAACAAGTAGCAGAGTCTTAGCCAATCACAGTAGCCAAATGTCAGTCAATCATAGTCAGCCAGCTGTTCAAGCCAGGTTGAAATAAGGGCAATGTCCATTTGTAACCAATCTAGCTGTTTCTGTACCTCACTTGATTTGAGACAGCCAGGTGGGAGGGGTTCCCTGGAGACACTCCAACCAGCCTGCCCACTGAGGTGGAGCCTTGGGAAGTTCATGACATTTGCAACAGAGAGGAGCCTGGCCCCTCCTCTTCCTGTGGAACCTGGGATTCGAACGGCCAGGCAGGAAGCACTCTAGTAGGGACTGTGGCTTAGCAAGAGTCCCTGTTTCCTCCTTTTCTTCCTTTTCACCCAATAAAACCCTGTCTTACCATTCAAATTGTCTGTGAGCCTAAATTTCTGTGGCCATGAGACAATCCCATCTTTAGCTAAACTAAGGAAAAGTCCTGCAACATGTTTACTGTATGTCACTTTCTTTTTTTTGTCCATAAATTTTATTCAACCACAAGATAGCCCTGGTTCTCCTCTGAACCCACTCTAGGTCCGAGGGGTTGCCTGATTTGTGAATCATTCTTTGCTCGGTTAAATTCTGTTAAATTTGTCTAAAGTTTTACAAGTGGGATCTGAAGTAGAGCTTCTGGTGACCCCCAGGAGCATCATGTGGCCAAGCAAGGTACCTGATGAGCCCACTGTGTCCGTTGCTGTCTCACAGCAACTGGGGAAGGTAAGTTTTTTGTCAAATTTGAAAACTTCAGAGATTTGTATTTTGAGCTATCTGAGTTTGTTCAAGGAAATTTTTTATCCACACTGGGCTAAAACTTGGGACAGAAATTGGACTGATTCTAGCTTTGGATTGGATCCAGAAATTAACTGGATTGGATCTTGTTATAAGCCTCAAATATATAAGTGGGTCACACATAAACTGGCATCAAATGGCAATACTGCAAGGAGTGCAAACTCTGGCTTCCAGAAATTCATAGGGATTTTGTGTTCTATTCTTTTTGTTTCTTTTCCTTGCATGCTTAGATAGGGAAATCTCATTGGCTAAGTTGATCACAAAGATCACAGAGGCAAAGCCAAGATAGAGTATAAAAATGGGACTGTTAATTTCTGAAGAACTTACTCTACCTTCATGCTACACCTACCTTTACATATATGTAGGTATTAGGCCCCAGAGGCAGCAAATGCTTACTAAAATGGCAAAATCTTACTAAACGCAATTTTAAATTATGGTGGAACATTCCAAATGAACAACACTACACTTTAAGAAATGCACTTAAAAATGACAGCTCCCAAAGTAGGCTCACCCAGGGATGCCTATTGATGTGTAGAAACTTATAAAAAGATTTTTATATTTTTATTGCCCCTTTTAAAAGACTTTTTACAAAAGGCAAATAAAAAGCATGAGTGACTAATTGATTTTAAAAATTTGACTGTGTTAACCTGTTGGTTTAGTTACTATCCTGTCCTAAAGGCAAAAAGCAAGTTGAATAAAAGTTTATACATAATGGGACCTCAGGTAAATACATAGGCTTGCTTCCTTCTCAGAGCTATTGGTGTTGAGTCCAGGCATAGACAATGTTTTCTTTGCCTTTTTTCTTAATGGGCTCCACCCTAAACTGAGTAATTTTAGCTAAGAAACAGAAGCTAAGTTAAAAAGACCACCTATGGAACTAAAATCAGTTTCTAAAATACGCCTTTCTGGCACTTAGCTGGTTATTTTGAGGTGCTTTTGTAAAATAAATTTTCATTTACAATAGAAATTTCCATTTGTAAGGATGTCTGCTTCTGTGCACTGGGAACAGAAGGAGGACTGAGTCACTGGAAACACTTACAATGAAAAAGGCATAAATTTCTGTAACAAGACAAACATTGTTTAAAGTGCTTTTTCTGGCCATCTTATCTTAACCAGGCCTTTACCTAAACCCTCCCTTCCTTGGTTTTGGCAAATGATGGTATTTAGGCCGAGCTAGTAAATAGTTTTTAGGAAAGATGAATGGACCCTTGGAAGAATGGGTAATGGTTTGTGTCAAGGTTTGTCTGAATGTGAAGTCTCCTTTCCTGTGATAAAAGTTAATCTTCCATGGTTCCTGGAACACCTAAGGAAAATATTAAGGACAATTAAGTTCCTTTGGAAAATAGACAAGGGGAATTCAAAAAGCCTTGCTTTGTTTAACTATTGGTAGCAATAATATACCAAAGTGACATATTTTAGTGTAGTATTTTCTAAACTTCTTCAATAGTCAGCTTTTTAAAAATAACCAATCCAAGCATAATTGTTAAGAACTAATAATGTAGGTAAAGGCAAATGGCATTAAAATTACCATTGAACTTAGAGTTTCAAAACTCTTTCAGCAATTTAAAATCTTTAAGTAATGTTAAATTAAATAATAGATACTCATTAAATATATGAATAATTTCTAAGCAAGTTAAAATCCTGACACATGAATTATTAAACATAAGTTGTTTATATATTCCAACATCTTGCTTTTATATAGTATACAGAAGCAAAATATATTTGCATATGTTAAGAAACAAAAAATTGAGGAAACATGACTTTCTAAAAATTATAACATGGTTTTCACCTATAAATACTGATATAAAACAGATCAAATTGCTCACTTCCTAGGATTTTCACTGGAAATTAAGGTTACTAAGAGTTAAATTGTTATTAATGTAAGTTACAGTGAGTTCCTCTTCAAAGGTTTAATTTGTTCAACTTTCTTGTTCTTTGTTCCTATAAAGAACTCCCTTGTACCTCCTCGTCCCTAGTTACCAGCTTAGTTACCTGGTTTGTAAACAACTCTTCCTACCAGTCCTGACCTGTAACTCACATCCCCCTTTCCTTCCTTATTTGGGAAAATATTCACAAATAGCCATTTGGGTCAGCTTAGATTGTGCAGTCTGACCCCAGCCCATGGGGGGAGTGACACACAGGTAGGGACTGCTTTGGGGATAAAAACCCCTTCCCTCTTTTCTTTGGGGTGCTCTAGGAGTAGCCAAAACTATGAGCAGCACCCATCTGCAGAAGTAAACTTTGCCTTGCTGAGAAATTCTCTGTTTGAGTGCTTGTTCTCTTGGTGACTCTAACCTCTTATTTCCAACAACCTAGGGCTTCGTCTGGGATCCCATTCTCCTCCGGGATCCCCTCTCATGAGGAGACACGTTCCGCTGCCTCACTGTGGCAGCCTTGGGGGTAAGGAATTGAGACCCACCGAGTTTGACAAATAAACCCGGACTCTCAGCAATGCAGGATGAAAAGGCCTACAGATACCACAATGACCAGGTAACTTTGTGCATAAACCAAGGTAAGAAAAACCACAGGGGCAGTGAAGTACTTCCTTGGTGGTCAGGACATCCTGGTGGTTGAATATGTGTGAATGAGATGCACAATTGAGTATGAAGTGAAAGCAGGGTAGTGCTGGAAACCTCCACTGGCAGAGAGGGGGTGGAGGAGTTAAGCCTGCAGGGAAAGGGTGCAAGAAATCTCTAGTAGGAGAGGTTCAGCCCCACAGAGCCTCCAGGGCAAAGGGTGCAAGAAATCTCTAGTAGAGAGGTTGAGCCCTACAGACCCAGAAAACTCAGGGAAACACCTAAAACTTTCAGGATGGGAAATATCTCAAGCAAGGCAGAAAATAAAAAGTACAAGAGAGACAATAAAATTCCCTCCGATAGTCCAGTGAGGAAATAAAGAGACCTAAGGGAAATGATAATTAAAGGAATTAGAGAATTGGTGCCCCACACCCAGAATATTACCAAAGCCTTTAATATAAAGTGGAGAAAGGATAAAGGACCTATGGGGTACTTAGGTAGGCTTAAAGAGCAAATGAGAAAGTATGCTGGCCCAGAATTAGAAGAATCCCTGGGACAAGAGATGTTAAAACTCCACTTTGTCACCAATAGTTGGCCAGATATTACAAGGAAATTACAGAAGATAGAAAATTGGAAAGACCGTCCCATAGAGGAACTTTTAAGAGAGGCCCAAAAGGTATATGTACGAAGGGATGAGGAAAGGCAGAAGCAAAAGGCAAAAATTATGCTGTCCACCCTACAACAGGGGACTCTTCAACAGGGAGCCCAGGGAGATAGAACCTGTAAGCCTTCCAAATACCTGGCTGTCAGACCCTACACAGGAGGCAAAGGAATCAAGACGGAAGGCCAGGAAATAAAAAGAGGAAAAGGGCAAAACAAATATTTCAAATGTGGAAAAACAGGTCACTTTAAAAGAGAATGCCCTAAGTGGGAAAAAGACAAGGAAGTCATCCCACTTACGGCTTTTGAGGAAGAATAGGGGGCTCTGTCTTTTCTATCTTGAATCCCACCAAGAGCTTTTGATAAATTTAGAGGTGGGACCCAACTCCAAGCTTATTACTTTTTTTTAATCGACTCAGGGGCGGCTCACTCCTCTGTTTGTCATTCCCCACCTGGTGTAATTTGTTCACAAGAAGAACTCTTTATTTCAGGAGTGAAGGGAGAACAATTTAAAGCAAAAATTATAGAGGAAACAAAAGTCATATACAAAAATAAATCAGCTAACATAAAATTTTTGTTAATACCAGAGGCAGGAACTAACTTACTAGGAAGAGATTTAATGCTAGAATTAGGTTTAGGCCCCTATGTTAACCAGAGAAAAGTTCTCAACTCCCTAAACTTACTCACTACTTAGATGAAGAGTATATCCATCCTAGTATCTGGTCAAGGGAAGGCAATCGAGGAAAGCTACTGGCTCTTCTAATCCATGTCAAATTAAAAACTCCTGGGGAAGTAGTAAAAAGAAAACCAAAACCTACTCCTTTAAAAGCTAGAATAGGTTTAAAACCTATAATTGAAAGACTTGTCCATGATGGACTCCTTGAACCCCGTATGTCCTCTTATAACACTCCCATATTGCCTGTAAGGAAACCAGATGGGTCATATTGGTTAGTACAAGACCTAAGGGCTATTAATCAAATAGTTCAAACCACCCATGCTGTTGTTCCCAATCCTTACACTCTTATAAGTAGGATCCCACACAACCACCAATGGTTCTACGGGTTAAATTCTACTACTAACCTTCCTACATTTGAAACAAAAGATCAGTTCCTTAAAAACTATATATTTGGTCTGTCTTCCACCTTTTCCTCCCTTAGGACTCAAGGTCTTCTAGCACAGACTCCACCCCTCGAATTTCCAGTTCACCAGCGCCAACCTGGAGATTACGTCCTTGTCAAAAGCTGGAAAGAGGGAATGCTTGAGCCCTCCTGGGAAGGACCTTACCTGGTGCTCCTCACAACTGAGACTGCAGTCCAAACTGCTGAAAAGGGGTGGACGCATCATATGCGAGTCAAAAAGGCATCGCCCTCTCCAAAGCCATGGACCATTGTCCCAGGGCCAACTCCCACCAGAGTAATGTTAAAAAGAAAATATTAATCTGTTTCTTCCTCCTTTTCCTCTTCTCCCCAGCTGTCTCACATCTTATTCCAAAGCCAAAGAAAGCTAGCCTCTTCAGAAAAGTACTCCCGCACCAAATGAGCACAGGGCAGTCATTGGAAGTTCTGTTTTGGTTGGGGAGATGTGGTCTGAACAATCAAGTATCAAGGCTGGACCTCCCCAGGAGGAGGTTGCACTAACCTAAACCCTTACATCCACTTTACAAAAAAGACAACTCCCTCTAATTGTCAACTCCAACAATGTAACCCTGTGCAAATCTCTATTACTGTCACCACCTCTACCAACACTAACCCCACTGTAGGTTGCTTCTATGGCATAGGAGCTGATGTTCCTGGAATAGACCCTATAGGATCCTTTGAAATGCACTTCATTACTCCTCCACCCTCTTCCCTTCCTCCACCTTCTAAACCTTATTCCAATCAAACAGCTGTTCTTTACATACCCAACGACGAAACTATAGTAAACATTGTAGAAGTTAAGGATTTAAAAGAAACCCTAGCCATAGAAACTGGGTATCAAGATGTAAATGCCTGGCTGGAATAGATTAAATATTCTGTTCACACCCTAAATAAGAGTTATTGTTACGCTTGTGCCACAGGCAGGCCAGAAACCCAAATTGTTCGCTTTCCACTTGGATGGTTCTCCAACCAACAGAGTATGAGTTGTATGGTAGCTCTCTTCCAAGACCCTGCAGCTTGGGGCAGTAAGGCATGCTGAACTCTCTCGCTGCTATTCTTGGAAGTTTAAGGCCCTGTAGGTCAGCCCCCAAGGGCCTTCCGGCCTCTGGTTAGCAATGTCAGTTTTACCTTGTGTCTCTCATGACAAAGGGAAAATTTAGCATTCCTTGGAAGCCTAATGGGATGCAGTGAGTCCAAGCCTTTTCAGGAGCTAACCAATCTGTCTGCCCTTGTTCATCCCCTGGCGGATGTATGGTGGTATTGCGGTGGACCACTGTTGGGTACTCTGCCAAGTAACTGGAGCGGCACTTGCACTGTAGTCCAATTGGCCATTCCTTTTACGCTGGCATTTCATCAACCAAACAAACAGAAAGGAAAATTGCAAAAAATGGAAGGTGCCCCTCATGGGTCTTTTGAACCTGGCATTTATATAGGTGCCATCGGAGTTCCATGAGGGGTACCAAATGAATTTAAAGCTCGAAATCAAGTAGCTGCAGGATTTGAATCTGCATTATTCTGGTGGTCTACTATAAACAAAAATGTAAATTGGATAAATTACATTTACTATAATTGACAGCAATTTGTCAATTACATAAGAGATGCCATTAAAGGAATAGCTGAACAATTAGGCCCTACCAGCCAAATGGCCTGGGAAAATAGAAGAGCCCTTGACATGATATTAGCTGAAAAAGGTACAGTATATGTCATAATTAGGACCCAATGCTGTACTTTCATCCATAATAACACCACCCCCTATGGAACCATAACAAAGGCTCTACAAAGTCTTACTATCTTAGCCAATGAGTTAGGTAAGGTATTCTGAAAATTACAGAATAAACAACCTCTTCACTAATTTAATGGGAAAATGGCTTGGCAAATGAAAGGGACTCACTCATGACCTCAGTCCTCACCTCCCTTACAACTGTAATAGCTGTACTTATTCTTGTAGGGTGCTGCATTATACCCTGTGTCTGCGGATTGGTGCAAAAACTTATTGAAACAGCTCTCACTAAAACCTTCTCCAATTCTCCCCCACCATATTTAGATAAGCTGTTACTCTTAGAAAATCAAGAAGAACAACAAAGCCAAAATATGTTAGACAAATTTGAAAAGGAAGAATTATAAAAATCAAAGGTGGGGGAAATTGCAAGGTACAGTGAGTTCCTCTTCAAAGGTTTAGCTTGTTCAACTTCTTTGTTCTTTGTTCCTAAAAACAACTCCCTTGTACCTCCTTGCCCCTAGTTACCTGCTTAGTTAACTGCTTTGTAAACAACTCTTCCCGCCAGCCTCGACCTGTAACTTATATCCCCCTTCCCTTTCTTATTTGGGAAAATATTCACAAACAGCCAATCGGGTCAGCTTAGATTGTGTGGTCTGACCCCAGCCCATGTGGGGAGTGACACAGAGGTAGGGACTGCATTAGGGATAAAAACTCCTCTCTTTTCTTTGGGGTGCTCTAGGAGTAGCCAAAACTATGAGCAGCACCCTTCTGCAGAAGTACATTTTGCCTTGCTGAGAAGTTCTCTGTTTGAGTGCTCGTTCTCTTGGCGACTCTGACCTTTTATTTCCAATATTAATATGGTTAGCATTAATGTGTGTGATTAAAACTACACACATTAATGTAAAACTACTACATTAATGTGTGTGATTAAAACTACTAAAACTACATTAATGTGTGTGATTAAAACTACTAAATAAGATAAATAATTTCATCTGCAAAGGGTACAAGAAAAACAAGATATATTTTTGGGAAGAAAGATTATAAAGAAGATATAAAAATGTGATTTTTGTTAAAAGAAAAAAATTTCCCATTTTAGAGATGACTTAAATATTGTTTTAAAATGAAGGAATAAATTTAAAAAATAGAGATAAAACTAAATGAATATTGAAAGCTAAAATGTAAAAGAAAATCTTGTGTGGTTAAACTGACTCAGGTTAAATGAATGTATTATAAGTGTTTTCAAAATTGAGCCTTAATATCAAAAGTATACCAATATAAAACTAAAATTCAGTTTTCTCTTTTAAATAATATCTTTTTGTAGTAATAATAAGAGAGCAAAAGACTTTCATTCACCTTTTGAGTGAACTACAAAAAACAAAAAAGGGGTAGGGGAGAGAAAGGGAAAAAGATTTTGTGTGTTTTCTGCTGTCTTTATTAGGTCTTTTGATTATTTGGAAAATTGAGTGTCTATCAAACAGTGAAGGTTTTTTCTTTCTCAAATCTTTTGGTTATTATTTTGGCTAAATGAAGAATTATTATCATGGCCTGTGATCCTATTTTGATCAATTATTTTAAACCTCTGACATATTTGACTGACTTTCCAAAATCAAAATTCAAAATCAAAATGAAGTCTTTTTGACCTCAAACTAACTTTGGATGTCCCAGAGGGCCCCTGAAGCATCTAAAAAAGAGAAAATAAAATAAACAAAGATAATAAATGAAGGCATATCTGATATGTTAAATTACACAAGTAGCACTGTCTTGTAACAGGAAAGAATGTTTAACCTTTTTTTTGAATTATGTTTCTATGGATATGCTATTAATACATGTTCCAAACTTGTATGAGATTCCTAAAATTCTGATATGTCTTGATGTATATTATCAGTCATAATTATTACTATTATATAAAATTATTACAGGCCACAGGAATAACCAAATTTCCTTGTCAATCGCATCTTTAACCATGACTGTTTTAAGTCTACTTGTACACAGTAAATTGCTTAATCTGATGCTTTTTTGGAAAGCTCTTTATAAGCTATTATAATCCTAAAGAGTTGTGCTTTCAAGGAGGTTCATGGAAGGGACTCTGAAAGTACAAATGTCTGATAACTTTAAGATTATACTGTTGGACTGGATAAAAAAACCTCAGAACTCTAATGAAAAAAAAATTGGTTCATAATACTGCTAACCCAAGCAGAGAAGAATTAAATTATGAGGAAATACATTGGCTAAGTCAGCCGGTACTGAAAATGTTAAAATATGCAATTTGAATGATCTCCTTGATCCAAGTCAAATTACCTATAATAATTAATTTAATAAACAGTGCTATGCACTGGAATTGGAGAAACAAAATTGGTATTTCAGAGGATATAAATTCAATATGAAATGTGTACTCACAGAGGGCCTGAACAGCTGCCTAGTCCTTCCTGCTTCCTTAACACCTCCATTATTAAAACTCTACACTCCATGACTCATCATGGAATAGATGATTGAAATAATGAAAAAAAAATGTGTGGAGACTTTTCTAAAATTGCTAAAATGATTTATGATCAATGTTTTATTTGTCAAATCCATAATCCTGGAAAGATAATCAAAACTTTGGGTACATTTCTGCTACCTGATGGGCTATATGAACATTTCTAGATGGATTTTTCATTCAATTGCCATTTTCAGTCTGTGTTTTCTGGTTGTATACAAGCTTTTTAACGCAAGAAGACCAATGCTATAACCATAGCTAAAGGTTATTAGAAAATGTGTTTTCTCCAGGGGTATACCTGGGGAAATCCCCAGTGATAGAGGTTCTTGTTTCACTGGATGAGTTGTAAAACAGTTAGCTAAGTTATTACAGACACAATAGCATTAAGCAAAACTAATTGAATCCACTGGATTGCCTTGATCAAAGGCATTGCAAATTGATGACAGTCATTTCTACTTCCAATTGAAAATATAAGTTGACCCCTTATGAAATAGTCACTGGAAAGGCCTGTGCTCCTAATAATAGAACCTAATGTACCTCCGCTCTCCTAAACTCTAGTGTGACTAAATACTGCATGGCTTTATGGTTGTACACCAAAGTATATTTTTGCCAGCTAAAGGAAGTTTTTCATGATCCACCAGCTGAGGACAATAAAACTCTTTACAGTCTAAAACCCAGAGATTAGGTCTTCTGGAAGTGTCATCAGAGAAAGAAAGACTGCCCTTGCCACCAACGCTGCAGCAAAACTTTGGGACCTCAAACCTTGGGTCCACATTTTGTAGCTCAAAAGTACCTCTTTATACTCTTGGACATGGTACACCCATGTGGATCCTAAGGTAAAACTCACCAGGAAAGTTTCTGCTCAGAAGCAGACAGTATCCTAGACATGGACAGCTTTCCCAGGATTCTGGGTCAATAGTTTTCTGTCATCATGAAACTCTTATCTTTTTCTTATTTATATATACCTCTTTCGCTCAGCAGGATAATGCTGTAATTAGATTTCCACAATCAGTACCTTCTGTGGGTAACTTTACGGAGCATTTAATATGTCATGCCAAACACAGACTTTACATGACCTAATGGATCCCGTAGTTCACACAGGGGGTAACTAGACCCACATTTTCTCATTCCTTTTTTTAATTTAACTCAGTAATGGGATACAAGGACCGGGACCAACACAAGACAGGTTTGCACCAAAAGCCTAGGAGGAGTTTCTTGCAAACTGACTTATGTGCTAGGGTACTACAGTATTCTTTCAACCTGTAATAATTCTACCTCAGACCCTTGGCTAGAAACTGCTAATTTCACCATTCCAAGTAATGTATCCATAAACAATGGAATCAGAAAAGGGGTCTTTGTACGCATACATGGGGTTTACTTTTATTTGTGGAGAATTTTGCAGACGACCCTATACATGGACAAACTTATACCCTGATTAATGGAAGATAAAGGGCCAATGTGGGCTAGAAAATTTAATAGTTCCTTTGTTGCTTCATAGTCAGAAACAGAATATTGATCCAATCCTCCTAACCTACACTGTAAGTAAGTTAAAAAGAACATTGCTGGCCAGTCATGGTAGTTCACACCTGTAATCCAAGCACTTTGGGAGGCCGAGGCGACAGATCATTTGAAGTCAGGAGTTTGAGACCAGCCTGGCCAACATGGTGAAACCCTGTCTCTACTAAGAATACAAAAATGCATGGCTGTAATCCCAGCTACTCGGGAGGCTGAGGCAGGAGAATCACTTGAACCTGGGAGGTGGCGGTTGCAGTGAGCCAAGATCGCACCACTGCACTCCAGCTTAGGTGACAGATGGAGATTGTGTCTCAAAACAAAAACAAAAACAAAAAACATTGTCAAGAGGCCTTTACCCTTCTGGATCAACATCATTTGTTAAGGCTGCTTTTTCATGGCCTGGAATGAATATAAACAAGGCAATGGTGGCAATGGTTAGATATTTATTCCCCAAAATAAACTCTACAGCAGATTTTACTACAAAGGCTCTGGTTGCACAGTAGACTTATTCTCTTGCTAAAGTTGCACTACATAATAGAATTACCCTAGCTTACCTACTGGCAGAATAGCGAAGGATCTGTGCAGTTGTTGACACTTCTTGTTGCACGTGGATGAATACAGTGGGTATTATAGAGACTCAGTTGCAAGGGATTAACAGACAAGATGCTTATTTAAAATGAATAGAATTCCTCCAGCTGATTCTTTAATGCATTTTAGTTGTGTTCGTTCATGGGAATCCCGGCGAAGAAGCACAATTCAGACTCGTGGTATTGTCTTTCTGATAGTTATAATAGTCTCCCTGATTTACAGTTTCTCTCAAAAGTTTTATTTTTTATTTTTGTTGAGATGGAGTTTCGCTCTTGTTGCCCAGGCTGGGGTGCAGCGGTGCAATCTCAACTCACTGCAACCTCTGCCTTCTAGGTTCAAGCAATCCTCCTGCCTCAGCCTCCTGAGTAGCTGGGATTACAGGTGCCTGCCACCATGCTTGGCTAATTTTTTGTATTTTTAGTAGAGATGGGGTTTTACCATGTTAGCCAGGCTGGTCTTGAACTCCTGACCTCAGGTGATCCACCCACCTTGGTCTCCCAAAGTGCTGGGATTACAGGCATGAGCCACCACGCCCAGCCTCTAAAGTTTTAAATAGTTGCATGCAGCCATCTGTAGAACATTAAATGGACCCTCTTTGACTGGAATAGAAAATCTCAAAGAAAAGCATGATTATGAGGACAACATAACCTATGAATGGCGTATTTAAACCAGAAAACTAAAAATGATGGTAACTGAGAAGAGTAGCACTCATGTCCTAAGGTTTGGTCACACTCTCACTTAGGTAAGAACCTGATCAAAAAGGGGAAATTGCTACGCAGAATTATGGGAGGGCAATGTTTTTGACTGAGCTCCTGCCCTAGGCCCCATCAGACCAGAACAAACTAAAATAGAATCACTCAGGCCAAATGCCATATAATCAAAACAAAACTTTAAGCAAAGAGATACAGGCCGGCCGCGGTGGCTCACGCCTGTAATCCCAGCACTTTGGGAGGCCGAGGCGGGCGGATCACGAGGTCAGGAGATCGAGACCATCCCAGCTAAAACGGTGAAACCCCGTCTCTACTAAAAATACAAAAAATTAGCCGGGCGTAGTGGCGGGCGCCTGTAGTCCCAGCTACTTGGGAGGCTGAGGCAGGAGAATGGCGTGAACCCGGGAGGCGGAGCTTGCAGTGAGCCGAGATCCCGCCACTGCACTCCAGCCTGGGCGACAGAGCGAGACTCCGTCTCAAAAAAAAAAAAAAAAAAAAGAGATACAAAAACCAGTTTTTCCCCCCACCCCTTCTGAAGGCAACAGATTCTGGTACATTAAGATCCCTTTAGTTCTAACCCTTACAAAAAACTAAACTGAAGTAACTTGATGTTAACCAGGCATTTTTTTTCTATTGTTCTGTTTCTTTGTTCACACCTTACAAAACCCATTGCTATTTTCTAGTGGGATTTGAGACCACGTAAGTCTATTTACAGTGGTGACAGAGTTATGTGAATGCCTAAAGTTTTGTTCAATTTCTCAAAATTGAGAGGCTGACCAAAAGGGAAGATTGTTAAACTTTGGGTCGGTTTGGCCTAAAGCTGACTTGTTATATATTTTAAGTTTGGCTGAAAGGTTCCTCTGTACATAATGAACTATAACTTGACATGTAAACCACCTGTAACCTACCATGCAACAAGTAGCAGAGTCTCAGCGAATTACTGCGGTCAAAGTTCCATTAACCACAGTTAGTCAACTGTTCAAACTAGGTTCAAATAAGGCAATATCCAGCTGTAATCAATTCAGCTGTTTCTGTACCTCCCTTCTATTTTCTGTATGCCACTTCCCTTTCCTTGTCCATAAATTTTATCTGACCATGAGGCAGTCCTGGAGTTGCTCTGAACACCTATTATAGTTCTGGGGGCTGCCTGATTTGCAAATCATCCTCTGCTCAATTAAACTTTGTTAAATTTTATTTGTTTAAAGTATATTTTTAACACTAGCTTCTCATCCAGGGAGGCCTACCTTCTTTCTCAATCCTGAGCTAAACAAGAAATAAAAACATGCTCTTAAAGTCCAAACAGACTTCTAGAGAGTTTCATTAATTAATACTGACTCATTTGGTAGAAATGTACTAGTCCCCCTACCCACAATTTTGTTTTCTGCAGTTTTATTTACTCTCAGTCAACCGTGGTCCAAGAATATTATAGTACTTTGAGAAAGAATATGTAAGAGACTGTGAATACACATATTTTCATAACTTTTATTATGGTATATTGTTTTAACTGTTCTATTGTATTATTAATTACTTACTGTGCCTAATTTATAAATTAGGCTTTATCATAGTTATGTATGTATAGGAAAATACATTTATTATAAGTCAAATTCTATATGATTTGGGGTTCTGGGCATCTACTGGGAGTCTTGGAATGTATCCCCTTGGATAAGGAGGGATTACTGTGCTACAGTGTGCACTGAATTTTTTGCAATAGTTTTCAATTTTTTGTCTATTTTCCTCTCCTCTTAACACTGTCACTCTCTTCTAAGTAGTTGAATTTGCTTATTAACAACTGCATGTACCCTGTTTGACAGGTGGTACCTTCCTCCATTTGTATTGCACTTCTCTCTACCCAATGCTAAACCTAATCCTATTTGTACTTCGAAATTCATGTTTTCAAGAGTCACCTATATTCTTTGGACCTTCCTTATGTATTCTTAATATCTATATGTGCCTTTCTTATTTTAAGTACAAGGAGTACACAAAGCAGCATAAGTAAACTGTGTTGAGTATAGGAGGGAGAATGGAGTACAGAGGACAAAAAGAACAAACTTAATTAGAAAAAGAAAGCCTGGGCTTTGTGTTTTTTATTTTTTTCCTTGAGTCTGAAACAAACTTCGTGAACTTGAGGCAATTGCTTTGTGCCTGTTTTTTCATATATAAAATATAGCTGACAATGCCTGCCTTGGTCCTTCATGGAATAGCTGTTAAGAAAAATGTATGGATATATGGTGAAATGGGTACAAGAAGTAAAATCACTATGAAGAGTTTTAAATTACATTTTTTATGTCCATATTAAACTTTTTTGGATATACAGTTTTACTTTAAAGTTCATACAGGTCATTTTTCAGTCAATACCTTAGAATGTAGAATGTATTTTCCCGTGAATATAATTTTGAAATTTTGGTTCTGATAAAAGCCTGTTTAAACTGTATTAGAAATACCACATATATACACATAGCATATATGCATGCATACATATATATGTATATAACATATTTAGGTATATAACATGATCTATATAGCAAAATGATAGAAAATATTGTTAGTAGGTACTAGAAATGGAAGTTGATAAAACAATAACCTTTATTCAAAATGATATTTCTTAAAAAAAACTGATTACTGGTACTTGAAGAAAAGTGGATGTAATTAGAGGAGTGCAAGATGTAGATACCTTTTGCAGATATTCTAAAGGAGATTTATGAACACTTAAAATCATTTTAGAAATTTAGAGCCCAAATTCTTAAGACACTGTGATTTCAGAACTTTCTTAATATAAGCGAATAATTATTAACAATAATCTTTCTTGTTGTCTTGAAGAAAAATAGCAAAGAAGAGAGAGGGAGGTGTTTTCTAACACATTGATGAGAAGTGGAAGAAGAAAAAAAGGTTTAAAAATAATAGCTGCCACTTACTGAGGGATTAGAATGAGCCACATAAGTGATTTGCTTGTGCTCTTTACTAATACTTGTTCCATTTGCTTGCTTGCTTTTAAGGTTGACTTTTATCAAGAAATAGTATACATCTTGTTTCAAATGCAGAAATCATGAGTTTACCTTGTAAATTTTCAAAATTTGAACACACACACGTGGTGTGGAACAAACAACCTGATCAAGAAACAGAAAATTACAAAGAGAAGCTACTCACATGTACCCATCTCACTTCTAACCCCATGCCATGGATAAGCACTGTCCTGACTTCTGAAACTATAGGTAATTTGGGTTTATTTAAAACATTATATGAATGCCAAGATATAACATACGTTCTTTTGTGTCTTTTTGGCCATTTTGTGATAGTTATCACTGATATTGTACATAGTTGCAATACATTCACTTTTACTGCTGTAGAAATGTAGCCTCTGATGAAATGTCTGTCAAGTCTTCTTTTTTATATCTTAGCATTTGCAAAATTATGATATTGCTATTTTATAAATGTTATATTTTTAATTTTTGTGAGTACATGGTAGGTATATATATTTATGGGGTACATTAGATATTTGTCTTTTTATTATTTTTAATGTACATTAAAATTTTACTTGATTTATAATTTTTATATATATATTCATGTGTATATATATGATCACACATACATATATATATATTTTTTCCCTACTCCATGGTATATATTTTCATTTTGCTTCTGGTATTATCACACTTAAGAAAGCAGAAAGTTTTCTTTATATTGGTGTTTATTTTATTATGTTTTTATTTTGTGTATTACCTTAATTAAAAAGTAGAACTTTTCATTTTCATTTTATCTATGCTTTGTGCAATTGTTTCCTGCTTAAAAAAATGTTGTCTACCTCAAAGTTATGAAGATATTTTGCCATATATCCTTTAGAAGTTTACTTGATTAATTTAGTTTTTCTCATTTAGATGAGCAATCATCTGGAATGGATTTGTGTGCATAGTGTGAAATCTATGGCTATGGTTTATATTTTTTCATATTAGAACTTGTATTTTATATTGTTGAATTAACATATTAGCACAAAGTTGATGGCTGAAAACAACAAAATTTATTATCTTACAATGTTCTAGGTTAGAAGTCTATCAGAGGTCTTGTCCAGCTAAAATAAAGTTTTTGGCAAGCAAGGCTATGTTCCTTTCTGGAGGCTCTAGGGGAGAACACATTTTCTTGTCTTTTCCACCTCTAGAGGCCATGTTTACTCTTTGGCTCATAGCTCCTTCATCTTAAAGCCAGCATCAATGGGTCAAGTTCTGTGTAGCATTGTTTTTCTGTTAGTTGCATCTCTCTCTGACTCTGACCTTTTCTCTCTAGGTAGATTTAAAGTTTTCTGATTGGCAACTGGTTGAAAGAGCTATTATCTAAAGGTCTGGAATCAAATAGAAAATCATATCTGGGTTACAATAGGAATTATGGAGATCAAGGTTTTATCATGCAGGTGAAGCCTTCAGGTAGCAGGCTTCAGAGAGAATAGATTGTAAATGTTTCTAACCATACCTAAAGAGTCTGTTCTGTCAGTCTTAAAGTCTCTGTATTGATATTTGTGAGGCATGTCTGATTCCCACTTCCCATCATGGCCTGAACTAGTCATTCAGGATAATCTGGGGAGGGGAGGGTGCATCAGCCAGTTTGGGGGTTTAGAATTTTATCTTTGGCTTACATCTTTTACAGATATTTCAAATAAATGGAATCACACAATATGCAGCTTTTGTGTCTGGCTTCTGTCACTTAGAAATGATGTTTTCAAAGCTTATCCATGTTGTAGCATGTAACAGTATTTCAGTCCTTTTTAGGCCTGGATAATATTCCATTGTTTAGATATATTAATTTGCTTACTGCTTTAGCAGCTTATGGAAATTTGGTTTGTTTCTGCTTTTTGTCTTTTATGAATAATGCATCTGTGGACATTCATATACAAGTTTTTGTGTGAACATGTTTTTAACTGTCTTGAGTATATATGTAGGAGTAGAATTGCTGGTTCATATGATAATTCTACATTCAACTTTTTAAGGAACTGCCAAACAATTTACAACAGTGGCTGTCCCATTTTACATCCCTATCAACTATGTGTTAGAGTTCTAGTTTCCTCACTGATATTTGGTATCATCTGTCTTGCTGGTTATAGCCATTGTCTTAGTCTGTTTCCTGCTAATATACCAGAATGTAACAGATCTGGTAATTTATAAAGAAAATAAGTTTATTTGGCTCATGGTTCCAGAGGCTGGAAATTCCAAGAGCATGGTGCTGATACCTGGTAATGATCATCTCATGGTGGAAGTTGGCACATAAGACAGAAAAAAAGAGCCTGCTATTACTAACCCACTCCTGCAATAACAGCATTAATCCATGTATGAGGGTAGAGTTCTCATGGCATAATAACCTCCCAAAGGCAGCACCTCTTAACACTAATTTAATAGCAATTAAATCTCATCATGAGTTTTAGCAAAGACATTCACGTCATAGTAGCCATCCTAGTGGATGTGAAGTGATATCTCATTGTGGTTTTGATTTGCATTTCCCTAATGACTAATGATGTTGAGCTTATTTTTATGTATGGACTGGCAATTTGTGTATATTCTCTGAAGAAATGTCTATTTAAATCCTTTAACCATTTTTTTAAGTGGACAGTTTGCTCTTTCACTATTGAGTTGGAAGAGTTCTTTATGTATTCTAAATACAAGTCCCTAATCAGATATATGATTTCCAAGTATTTTCTCCCAATCTGTCCAAGTATTTTCTCCCAATCTGTGGGTTTTTAAAAATTTATTTTTAATTGAGAAATAATAATGTTCATTTATGCAACACAGTGTGATGTTTTGATCTATGTACACATTATAGAAAAAAAGTTGACCAAGCTAATTAATATATTCATCACCTCACAAACTTATTTTTTGTGTGTAGTGAGAACATTAAATATCTATTCTTTTAAAAATGTTGAAATGTGCTTTATTATTAACTGTGGTCATCATGCAGTGCAATAAGTCACTAAAGCTTATTCTAGCAAACTTTCTACCCTTTGATCAGCATCTCCCCTTTTCCTGTCACTCTCCCTCCATCCTAGCCTCTGGTAACCACCTTTCTACCCTCTGTTTCTATGAGATTAATTTTTTTAGATTCCACATATAAGAGAGATCATATGCTATGTGTCTTTCTGGGTTATTTCACTTGGCATAATATTCTCCAGTTTTATCTATGTTATCATGAATGATACAATTTTCTTCTTTTTAAAGGCTGTACAATATCCCATTGTGTGTATATGCCATATTTTCTTTATTCATTCTTCTGTTGGACTTTTAGGTTGCTCTGATATCATGACTATTGTGACTAATGCTGGAATGAACATGCTAGTGGAGCTATCTCTTTAACATACCTATTTCACTTCCTTTGGCTATGTACCCAGAAGCTGGATTGCTGGATTATACAGTGATTCTATTTATAGTTGTTTGAGAAATCTCCATACTATTTTCCAAAGTGGCTATATTTATTTGCATTCCCACTAAGACTGCACAAGGTTTCCCTTTTGCTCACATCATCACAAACATTTATTATTACTTGTATTTTTAATAATAGTCATTGTAACAGGTGTAAAGAGATAACCTTATTGTACTTCTAATTTGTATTACTCTGATGATTAGTAATGCTGAACATTTTTTTATGTCTGTTGGAAACTCATATCTCATGTTTTGAGAATTTTCTGTTCAGATCCTCTGCCCATTTTCAATTTTTTTTCTTGCTATTCAGTTGTTTGAGTTTCTTATATATTTTGGATATTGGTCCATTATCAGATGTATGATTTGAAAATATTTTCTCCCAATCCATGGGTTGTATCTTCATTCTGCCAATTATTTTCTTTGTTGTGCAAAAGTAGTTTTACTTTGATAGAGTTCCATTGTTTATTTTTGCTTTTATTGCCTGTGCTCTTGGAATCCTATTGAAGAAATCATCACACAAACGGATGTCATAGAAATTTTCCTCTACATTTTCTTCTAGAAGCTTTAGAATTTCAAGTCTTTCTTAAGTCTTTTGTTCATTTTAGTTGAGATTTTGTAATTTTGTATATGGTGTGAGATAAGGGTCCAACTTAATCCTTCTGCTGTGGGTATCCAGTTTTCCCAACACCACTTACTAAAGAGAGTCTTTCCCCCATTGTTTTCTTGGCAGCTTTCTCAAAAATCAATTGACCATATATTATTGGGTTTATTTCTGGGCTTTCTATCTTGTTCCATTGGTTGATGTGTCTGTGTTTATGCTAGTACCATGCTGTTTTAATTACAATGACTTTATATTTTGAAATCAGAAATTTTAACGTCTTTAGCTGTGTTCTTTTCTCTCAGGATTGCTTTGGCTCTTTGACGTCTTTTCTATTTCCATATGAATTTTAGGATTTAATTTTTATTCCTGTGAAAACTGATGCTGGAATTTTGATAGAAATTTCATTGAACCCGTAGATCGCTTTGAGTAACATGAACATTTTAACAATATTAATTTTTTCATGAGTATATTTCCATTTATTTGTGTCTTCAATTTCTTATACTTCTCAGTGTACAGGTTATTCACAAATTAAATTGGTAGGTGGTAGGTGGGTAACCTCCCTTTCCTCTGCTCCAATCCTGGGTGAGTGCTTGTCTTGTCTTGCCTCACTCCTCTCTGCTCTCTATGGGTCACTAATACTTCATTGATGAATCACAATATGGCTTCCCAGATAATCCTCTTGAAGAGCTAGTGTTTACTCATCACTCTATCTCCTCTCCGTGACAGTGGTATACACAAGCTGCTTCTAGTCAGCCATCTTGGCACCTCTCCCTCGATGGTGTCTTTTGATGCAGAGAAATTTAACATTTTGGGCTGAGCGCGGTGTCTCATACCTGTAATCCCAGCACTTTGGGAGGCCAAGGCGGGTGGATAACCTGAGATTAGGTGTTCGAGACCAGCCTGACCAACATGGAGAAACCCTGTCCCTACTAAAAATAGAAAATTATCTGAGCGTGGTGGCACATGTCTGTAATCCCAGCTGCTTGGGAGGGTCATGCAGGAGAATCGCTTGAAACTGGAGGCGGAGGTTGCCGTGAGCTGAGATCCCGCCATTGCACTCCAGCCTGGGCAACAAGAGTGAAACTCCGTCTCCAAAAAAAAAAAAAATTAACATTTTGATAATATTCACTGTATCAATTTTATTTCTTTAGTTGCTTAAGCTTTTGCTGTTACAACTAAGAAACTGCTGCCTAAATTACAGTAACACAGATTTATAGCTAAGTTTCCTTCTAAGAGTTTTATAGTTCTAGTTGTTTAATTTAGCCCTGTAAATTTGAGCTAATTTTTATACATAGTGTGAGGTAAAAGTCCAAATTCTTTTGCATCTGGATATTCAGTTGTCTCATTATCATGTGTTGAGAAGATGATTCTTTCCCCCATTGAATGGCTTTGGCACTATTAGAAATATTTAGTTGACCATGGATGTATGGGTTTATTTCTTAATTCTCAATTTTATTACATTGGTCACTATGCCTGTTCTTTTGGCACTACTACACTGTCTTGATTACTACAACTTTGTGGTAAGTCTTGAAATATGGAATTGTAAGTTAACATTTTCAGTGCTATTTTGGTTATCCAGGGCCCCTTGCATTTTCATATAAATTTTATTATGGTCTTGTTTACTTCTGAAAAAACAAAATTGTAGATTTAATAAGAAATTCACTGAACCTGCAGATCCAGTTGGGGAGTACTGCTACCTCAATAATATTAAATCTTCTATCCCATGTACATGAAATATCCATTTATTTAAATCTGCCTCAATTTATTTTGACACTTATTTGTAGGTTTCAGTGTAAAAGTATTGTACTTTATCTTTAAAATATAGTTTTAAATTATTTTTGATGTTAGTGGAATTGTTTTTTCAATTTTCTTTTCAGATTATTCATTTCTAGTGTATAGAAATACAACTAGTTTTAGGGAGACTGATGTCAGAAAGATGATGGAACAGGAGGTCTCCTGTTTGTATCCCCCACAACAATAATTTGTCAGTGACACGGGAACAAAAATGGTTTGTTATAGCTTTGAGATCCAGGTAGGAGGTTACAATACCTTAGTAGAGTCAAAGACATAAGAGGGTCACTTTTGAAAAGGCAGGCTTGGACCTGCACAGAAGGATTGCCCACAGTAGTCTCAGATGCAGACCTGGAAACAGTCCTGTACCCCCATGGACTCAGCTACAGTCTTGTCACCTGGGCATTCCACAAAGGGAGCTGGCCGGAGGCATATCTGCTTGTGCCTTGGGGAACAGGCTTGTTAATCTTGGTACCAGCTGTGGATTCTGAAGTGGCCTGTAAACCAAGTCCACCTCCCAGCTGTGGTCTGGAAGTATCCTGCTTGCTAAGAATCCAGAAGGAGATACAACCATCCTTGAACTGGAGACAGGCTTGCCAACCTAATTTGACTGCAGATTTGAAACCTGCCCTATGACTTGGTTCTAGCCCTTTTCAGTTGGAGTCTACTGCCTTCCTGAGGGCTCAGTGGAGAGTGCATGGAGAGGCACGTTCCCCACTGAGCCCTAAAGAAGGACTGAGCCAAAGGCAGGGATGCCAATGGAGGTTCCACTGCAGATCCTGAAGTGGCCCTGTGACCTAGTACTGGCTGCACTCCACTGAGGTCTGGGGCCAGTCCTGCTGCCCAGGAATCTAGAAAGAGGCATACCCATCCCCAAAGACAGGCCTGTACGTATCAGTACCAGCTGTCAACACTGAAGCAGCCCTGTGATTCCATTGTCACCCATCAGCCACACTGCAGGACCACTCTGATTGTCCGTGGATGTACCCAGTGACCCAGTATGAGCCACCCCCATCTGCATAACTGGTATCAGGCCCACTATCTGTGGATTCAAATGTTGACCCTGAAATGGACACTTTCCCCAGCACTAGCCTTACTGACCAATGTCCTGGAGACACTTTGATCTACTCAGAGACCACGCAGGATCCACAATTGCCTGATGACAAGCCTATGAACCATAGACTTCATTGCAGACCCAGAAGCAGCCACATAACATAACCTAACCACAAAGCCACTTTATTGCATTCCCAAGAGGCAATTTCTTAAGTAAGGGGACCTGATAGAATAAGGTCATTATCTGCAGGATCCAGACTATAAGAAATAGAGTTGTTTGCTTCTTCAAATGCATGAACACTGATGATGCAAGCCTACATGAATCACAAAGAATCAAGCAAATATGACACCACAAAAAGAACAGAGCTCCAGTAGCCAACATGAAAAATTGAAGATCTACAAATTGCCTGACAAATAATTCGAAGTATTCATTTTAAATATGCTCAATGAGATGTAAGAAAACACAAATAGAAAACCAAACAAAATCAGGAAAATGATTTAGGGAAAAAGAGAAATGTAGTGAAGAAATAAACACCATAAAGAAGAATCAAACAGAAATCCCAAAGCTGCAGAATACACTGACAGAACTGAAAAAAAAATGATAGAAAGCTTGAACATCATACTTGATCATGAAGAAGAATGGATCAGTGAATAGAAGGACAGGTCATTTGAAATTAGCCCCTTAGAGGAACAAAAAGAAAAAAATGAAAAAGAGTCAAGAAAGCATATGGGACATATGGGAACCACCCAACAAATGAATATATGCATTAGAAGAGTTCCAGAAATATGCTAGAAAGAGAAAAAATGTAGAAAGCTCATTTAAAGAAAAACATGGCCACTTTCCAACTTTCCAAAATCTTGGGAGCAATACTAAATGTAGATTCATGAAGCTTTCAGATCCCCACTCTATATTAATCAAAAGAAGATTACTCAGAGACACCTTACAATCAGATTGTCAAAAGTTATGATAAAGAGAATTTTGAAAACAGTGAAAGAAAAGTGATTTACCACATACACAGGAGCATCTATTAGGCTATAAGTGAATTTCTCTGTAGAAACTTTGCAGGCCATGGGGAGCGGAATAATATATTAAATGGACTGAAAAACAAAACAAAAACTGCCAACTAAGAATATTATAATCAGCAAAGATGCCCTTCAGAAATAAGGAAAGATAATGATATTCTAAGACAAATAAAAGCTGAGGGAATATATCACCACTAAATGTGTTTTACAGGAAACACTGAAGAGAGTTCCTCAAGCTGAAACAAAAGGATGCTAAGTAATAAAATGAAAACTTATAAAATGAAAACATATAATAGTAAGGTAAACTTGAATTCAGAATACTTTAATACTATAATAGCTGTACATAAGTCACTTTTAACTCTCGTATAAAAGTTAAAAGCCAAAAGAATAAATAACTGTAGTTATGATAATTTGTTAAAAGGTACACAACATAAAATGTGTAAAATATAACACCAATAGCATACAATATGTGTTTGGTGGGTGGAGGAGTAAAATGTAGAGTTTTTATACATGAATAAGTGTTTATTTTAAAATACATTTTTACAACTAAAAATATTTTATGTAAGCCTCATGGTAGCCACAGAGGAAAACAAAATAGGAAGTACACAAAAGATAAAGAGAAAGGAGAAGATGGCCGAATAGGAACAGCTCCGGTCTGCAGCTCCCAGCGTGAGCGACGCAGAAGACGGGTGATTTCTGCATTTCCATCTGAGTTACCGGGTTCATCTCACTAGGGAGTGCCAGACAGTGGGCACAGGTCAGTGGGTGTGTGCACCGTGCACGAGCCGAAGAAGGGCGAGGCATTGCCTCACTTGGAAAGGGCAAGGGGTTAGGGAGTTCCCTTTCTGAGTCAAAGAAAGGGGTGATGGACAGCACCTGGAAAATCGGGTCACTCCCACCCGAATACTGAGCTTTTCCGACGGGCTTAAAAAACAGCGCACCACGAGATTATATCCCACACCTGGCTCGGAGGGTCCTATGCCCATGGAGTCTCACTGATTGCTAGCACAGCAGTCTGAGATCAAACTGCAAGGTGGCAGCAAGGCTGGGGGAGGGGGCGCCCGCCATTGCCCAGGCTTGCTTAGGTAAACAAAGCAGCCTGGAAGCTCGAACTGGGTGGAGCCCACCACAGCTCAAGGAGGCCTGCCTGCCTCTGTAGGCTCCACCTCTGGGGGCAGGGCACAGACAAACAAAAAGACAGCAGTAACCTCTGCAGACTTAAATGTCCCTGTCTGACAGCTTTGAAGAGAGCAGTGGTTCTCCCAGCACGCAGCTGGAGATCTGAGAACGGGCAGACTGCCTCCTCAAGTGGGTCCCTGACAGCTGACCCCCGAGCAGCCTAACTGGGAGGCAACCCCCAGCAGGGGCACACTGACACCTCACACGGCAGGGTATTCCAACAGACTTGCAGCTGAGGGTCCTCTCTGTTAGAAGGAAAACTAAAAAAGAGAAAGGACATCCACACCAAAAACCCATCTGTACATCACCATCATCAAAGAACAAAAGTAGATAAAACCACAAAGATGGGGAAAAAACAGAACAGAAAAACTGGAAACTCTAAAAAGCAGAGCGCCTCTCCTCCTCCAAAGGAACGCAGTTCCTCACCAGCAACGGAACAAAGCTGGATGGAGAATGACTTTGAGGAGCTGAGAGAAGAAGGCGTCAGATGATCATATTACTCTGAGCTACGGGAGGACATTCAAACCAAAGGCAAAGAAGTTGAAAACTAACTTTGAAAAAAATTTAGAAGAATGTATAACTAGAAAAACCAAAACAGAGAAGTGCTTAAAGGAGCTGATGGAGCTGAAAACCAAGGCTCGAGAACTACGTGAAGAATGCAGAAGCCTCAGGAGCCGATGCGATCAACTGGAAGAAAGGGTATCAGCAATGGAAGATGAAATGAATGAAATGAAGCGAGAAGGGAAGTTTAGAGAAAAAAGAATAAAAAGAAATGAGCAAAGCCTCCAAGAAATATGGGACTATGTGAAAAGACCAAATCTACGTCTGATTGGTGTACCTGAAAGTGATGTGGAGAATGGAACCAAGTTGGAAAACACTCTGCAGGATATTATCGAGGAGAACTTCCCCAATCTAGCAAGGCAGGCCAACGTTCAGATTCAGGAAATACAGAGAACGCCACAAAGATACTCCTCGAGAAGAGCAACTCCAAGACACATAATTGTCAGATTCACCAAAGTTGAAATGAAGGAAAAAATGTTAAGGGCAGCCAGAGAGAAAGGTCGGGTTACCCTCAAAGGGAAGCCCATCAGACTAACAGCGGATCTCTCGGCAGAAACCCTACAAGCCAGAAGAGATTGGGGGCCAATATTCAACATTCTTAAAGAAAAGAATTTTCAACCCAGAATTTCATATCCAGCCAAACTAAGCTTCATAAGTGAAGGAGAAATAAAATACTTTACAGACAAGCAAATGCTGAGAGATTTTGTCACCACCAGGCCTGCCTTACAAGAGCTCCTGAAGGAAGCACTAAACATGGAAAGGAACAACCAGTACCAGCCGCTGCAAAATCATGCCAAAATGTAAAGACTATCGAGACTAGGAAGAAACTGCATCAACTAACGAGCAAAATAACCAGCTAACATCATCATGACAGGATCAAATTCACACATAACAATATTAACTTTAAATGTCAATGGACTAAATGCTCCAATTAAAAGACACAGACTGGCAAATTGGATAAAGAGTCAAGACCCATCAGTGTGCTGTATTCAGGAAACCTATCTCACATGCAGAGACACACATAGGCTCAAAATAAAAGAATGGAGGAAGATCTACCAAGCAAATGGAAAACAAAAAAAGGCAGGGGTTGCAATCTTAGTCTCTGACAAAACAGACTTTAAACCAACAAAGATCAAAAGAGACAAGGCCATTACATAATGGTAAAGGGATCAATTCAACAAGAAGAGCTAACTATCCGAAATATATATGCAACCAATACAGGAGCACCCAGATTCATAAAGCAAGTCCTGAGTGACCTACAAAGAGACTTAGACTCCCGCGCATTAATAATGGGAGACTTTAACACCCCACTGTCAACATTAGACAGATCAACGAGACAGAAAGTCAACAAGGATACCCAGGAATTGAACTCAGCTCTGCACCAAGCAGACCTAATAGACATCTATAGAACTCTCCACCCCAAATCAACAGAATATACATTTTTTTCAGCACCGCACCACACTTATTCCAAAATTGACCACATACTTGGAAGTAAAGCTCTCCTCAGCAAATGTAAAAGAACAGAAATTATAATAAACTATCTCTCAGACCACAGTGCAATCAAACTAGAACTCAGGATTAAGAATCTCACTCAAAACCGCTCAACTACATGGAAACTGAACAACCTGCTCCTGAATGACTACTGGGTACATAACGAAATGAAGGCAGAAATAAAGATGTTCTTTGAAACCAATGAGAACAAAGACACAACATACCAGAATCTCTGTGACGCATTCAAAGCAGTGTGTAGAGGGAAATTTATAGCACTAAATGCCCACAAGAGAAAGCAGGAAAGATCCAAAATTGACACCCTAACATCACAATTAAAAGAACTAGAAAAGCAAGAGAAAACACATTCAAAAGCTAGCAGAAGGCAAGAAATAACTAAAATCAGAGAAGAACTGAAGGAAATAGAGACACAAAAAACGCTTCAAAAAATTAATGAATCCAGAAGCTGGTTTTTTGAAAGGATCAATAAAATTGATAGACCGCTAGCAAGACTAATAAAGAAAAAGAGAGAGATGAATCAAATAGATGCAATAAAAAATGATAAAGGGGATATCACCACCGATCCCACAGCAATACAAACTACCATCAGAGAATACTACAAACACCTCTATGCAAATAAACTAGAAAATCAAGAAGAAATGGATAAATTCCTCAACACATACACTCTCCCAAGACTAAACCAGAAAGAAGTTGAATCTCTGAATAGACCAATAACAGGATCTGAAATTGTGGCAATAATCAATAGCTTACCAACCAAAAAGAGTCCAGGACCAGATGGATTCACAGCCAAATTCTACCAGAGGTACAAGGAGGAACTGGTACCATTCCTTCTGAAACTATTCCAATCAATAGAAAAAGAGGGAATCCTCCCTAACTCATTTTATGAGGCCAGCATCATTCTGATACCAAAGCCAGGCAGAGACACAACAAAAAAAGAGAATTTTAGACCAATATCCTTGATGAACATTGATGCAAAAATCCTCAATCAAATACTGGCAAACCGAATCCAGCAGCACATCAAAAAGCTTATCCACCATGATCAAGTGGGCTTCATCCCTGGGATGCAAGGCTAGTTCAATATACGCAAATCAATAAATGTAATCCAGCATATAAACAGAGCCAAAGACAAAAACCACATGATTATCTCAATAGATGCAGAAAAAGCCTTTGACAAAATTCAACAATGCTTCATGCTAAAAACTCTCAATAAATTAGGTATTGATGGGACATATTTCAAAATAATAAGAGCTATCTATGACAAACCCACAGCCAATATCATACTGAATGGCCAAAAACTGGAAGCATTTCCTTTGAAAACTGGCACAAGAGAGGGATGTCCTCTCTCACCACTCCTATTCAACATAGTGTTGGAAGTTCTGGCCAGGGAAATTAGGCAGGAGAAGGAAATAAAGGGTATTCAATTAGGAAAAGAGGAAGTCAAATTGTCCCTGTTTGCAGACGACATGATTGTATATCTAGAAAACCCCATTGTCTCAGCCCAAAATCTCCTTAAGCTGATAAGCAACTTCAGCAAAGTCTCAGGATACAAAATCAATGTACAAAAATCACAAGCATTCTTATAGACCAACAACAGACAGACAGAGAGCCAAATCATGAGTGAACTCCTATTCACAATTGCTTCAAAGAGAATAGAATACCTAGGAATCCAACTTACAAGGGATGTGAAGGACCTCTTCAAGGAGAACTACAAACCACTGCTCAAGGAAATAAAAGAGGATACAAACAGATGGAAGAACATTCCATGCTCATGGGTAGGAAGAATCAATATCATGAAAATGGCCATACTGCCCAAGGTAATTTACAGATTCAATGCCATCCCCATCAAGCTACCAATGACTTTCTTCACAGAATTGGAAAAAAACTACTTTAAAGTTCATATGGAACCAAAAAAAAGCCCGCATCGCCAAGTCAATCCTAAGCCAAAAGAACAAAGCTGGAGGCATCACACTACCTGACTTCAAACTATACTACAAGGCTACAGTAACCAAAACAGCATGGTACTGGTACCAAAACAGAGATATAGATCAATGGAACAGAACAGAGCCCTCAGAAATAACACCACATATCTACAACTATCTGATCTTTGACAAACCTGAGAAAAACCAGCAATGGGGAAAGGATTCCCTATTTAATAAATGGTGCTGGGAAAACTGGCTAGCCACATGTAGAAAGCTGAAACTGGATCCCTTCCTAGGTTACACCTTATACAAAAATCAATTCTAGATGGATTAAAGACTTAAACGTTAGACCTAAAACCATAAAAACCCTAGAAGAAAACCTAGGCATTACCATTCAGGACATAGGCATGGGCAAGGACTTCATGTCTAAAACACCAAAAGCAATGGCAACAAAAGACAAAATTGACAAATGGGATCGAATTAAACTAAAGAGCTTCTGCACAGCAAAAGAAACTACCATCAGAGTGAACAGGCAACCTACAAAATGGGAGAAAATTTTTGCAACCTACTCATCTGACAAAGGGCTAATATCCAGAATCTACAATGAACTCAAACAAATTTACAAGGAAAAAACAAACAACCCCATCAAAAAGTGGGTGAAGGACATGAACAGACACTTCTCAAAAGAAGACATTTATGCAGCCAATAAACACATGAAAAAATGCTCATCATCACTGGCCATCAGAGAAATGCAAATCAAAACCACAATGAGATACCATCTCACACCAGTTAGAATGGCTATCATTAAAAAGTCAGGAAACAACAGGTGCTGGAGAGGATGTGGAGACATAGGAACACTTTTACACTGTTGGTGGGACTGTAAACTAGTTCGACCATTGTGGAAATCAGTGTGGCGATTCCTCAGGGATCTAGAACTGGAAATACCATTTGACCCAGCCATCCCATTACTGGGTATATACCCAAAGGACTATAAATCATGCTGCTATAAAGACACATGCACACATATGTTTATTGCGGCACTATTCACAATAGCAAAGACTTGGAACCAACCCAAATGTCCAACAATGATAGACTGGATTAAGAAAATGTGACACATATACACCATGGAATACTATGCAGCCATAAAAAATGATGAGTTCATGTCCTTTGTAGGGACATGGATGAAATTGGAAATCATCATTCTCAGTAAACTATCGCAAGAACAAAAAACCAAACACCGCATATTCTCACTCATAGGTGGGAATTGAACAATGAGATCACATGGACACAGGAAGGGGAATATCACACTCTGGGGGCTGTTGTGGGGTGGGGGGAGGGGGGAGGGATAGCATCGGGAGATATACCTAATGCTAGATGATGAGTTAGTGGGTGCAGCACACCAGCATGGCACATGTATACATATGTAACTAACCTGCACAATGTGCACATGTACCCTAAAACTTAAAGTATAATAAAAAAAAGAGAGAAAATTTAACAGCAATTAGGTTTTTACAAGGTGATATGCAATTAAATTTAGCTTATTTTAAAAGAAAAAAAAAGAGAAAGGAAACATTGAGCAGTAGTTTGTAGTTCTCTGTGTAGAGAGCCTTTATTTCCCTTGTTAGCTGTATTAATAGGTATTTCATTCTTTTTGTGGCAATTATGAATGGACGTTCTTTTGTGCTTTGGCTCTCTTCCTGCCTGTTGGTGTATAGAAATGCTAGTGACATTTGCACATTTATTTGTATTCTGAGACTTTGCTGAAGTTGCTTAATAGCTTAAGAATCTTTTGGGCTGAGATGTCAGGGTTTTCTAGATATAGGATCATGTCATCTGCAAAAAAAGATAGTTTACTCTCCTCTCTTCCTATCTGAATATCACCATTTCTTTCTCTTACCTGATTGCCCTAGCCAGAACTTCTAATACTATGTTGAATAAGAGTGGTGAGAGAGGACATCCTTGGCTTGTGCCAGTTTTCAAGGAGAATGCCTCTTTTGCCCAATCAGTATCATACTGGCTGGCTCTTATTATTTTGAAGTATGTTCCTTCAATACCTATAACACAAGCAAATGGAAAATCATTTCAGCCTTATGGATAGGAAGAATCATTATCTTGAAAATGGCCATACTGCCCAAAGCAATTTATGCATTCAATGCTATTCCCATTAAACTACCATTGACATTCTTCACAGAACTAGAAAAAGTATTTTAAAATTCATATAGAACCAAAGAAAAGAGCTTGAGTAGCCAAGGCAATCCTAAGCAAAAAGAGAAAAGCTGGAAGCATCACACTACTTGACCTCAAACTATACTCCAGGGCTACAGTAAACAAAACAGCATGGTACTGGTACAAGAACAGACACAACCCAGAAATCAGACCACACGCCTACATCCATCTGATCTTCAACAAACCTGACAAAAAGAATGGGGAAGTGATTTTCTATTTAACAAATGGGGCTAGGAGAACTGACTAGCCATATGCAGAAAACTGAAAATGGACCCCTTTCTTACATCATTTACAAAAATGAACTCAATATGGATTAAAGACTAGAATGTAAAAGCCAAAACCATAAAAGCACTACAAGAAAACCTAGGCAATACCATTTAGGACACAGGGGTGGTCAAAGACTTCATGACAAAAATGCCAAAAGCAATTGCAACAAAAGCCAAAATTGACAAATGGGATCTAATTAAACTAAAGAGCTTCTGCACAGCAAAAGAAACTATCAACAGAGTAAACAGACAACCTACAGAATGGGAGAATATTTTTGCAATCTATGCACTTGATGAAAGTCTAATATCCAGCATCTATAAGGAACTTGAACAAATTTACAAGAAAAAACAACCCCATTAAAAAGTGGGCAAAGGACATGAACAGACACTTATCAAAAGATGACATACATGCAGCCAATAAGCATATGAAAAAAAGCTCAACATCACTGTCCATTAGAGAAATGCAAACCAAAGCCACAATGAGATACCATCTCATGCCAGTCAGAATGGTTATTATTAAAATGTCAAAAAATAATAGATGCTAGCAAGGTTGTGGAGAAAAACAAACACTTTTACACTGTTGGTGGGATTGTAGTCAACCATTATGAAAGACACTGTGGTGATTCCTCAAAGACCTACAGATAAAAATACCCAGTAATGGTATTACTGAGTATATACCCAGTAATGGTATTACTGAGTATATACCCAGTAATGGTATTACTGAGTATATACCCAGTAATGGTATTACTGAGTATATACCCAGAGGAATATAAACCATTCTATTATAAAGACACATGCATGCATATGTTCAAAATAGCACTATTCAAAACAGCAAAGACATGGAATCAACCTAAATGCCCATCAGTGGTAGACAGGATAAAGAAAATGTGGCATATATATACCATGGAATACTATGCAGCCATAACTTTACAAGGACATGGATGGAGCTGGAGGCCATCATCCTTAGCAAACTAATGCAGGAACAGAAAACCAAATACCACATGTTCTTACTTATAAATGTGAGCTAAATGAATGCATAGAGGGGAAAAATGCACACTGACTGGGGCCTACCAGAGTGTAGAGGCTGGGAGGAGGGAACAGATCAGGAAAAATAACTAATGGATAGTAGGCTTAATACTTGGCTGATGAAATAAGCTATACAACAAACCCCCATGACACATGTTTACTTATGTAACAAACCTTCACATCCTGCACATGTATCATTGAACTTAAAGGAATCAGAGCATTCCATTACAAAACAAATAACAGCAAATAGCAAGAGACGAAAAGGAAATAAAAATGTCATAAACAATAAAATGGCAGTAGTAAGTCCTTACCCATTAATAATTACTTTAAATGTAAATTGATTAAATTTGCTATTCAAAAGACGCAGAGTGAAAGGATATAAAGAAAAGTAAGATTCAACAATATGCTGCTCATAAAAGACTCATTTAAACCCTAAGGACATACATAGGTCGAAAGTGATGAGATGGAAAAAGATATTCCAAGCAAATGAAAACCAAAAGGAGCAAGGGTGGCTATATTTCTGTTAGACAAAATGAACTCAGTCAAAATCTGTCACGAGAGACAGAGAAAATTACTACATAATGATAAAAGGGTCAATTCATTAAGATGATATAAGTATTGTAAATATATATGCAGCCAACACAGTAGCACCTAAACATATAAAGCAAAGATTGCCAAAACCTAAGGGAGAAATAGAAATACAACAATAGCAGGGAATTTCAATGCCCCCTTCAACAACAGATAGATCATTCAGATATAACTTGAATAACCCTATAGACCAAATAGACCTAACAGATACATATGCAGCACATCTCATCCAAAGAGAATACACACTCTTCCCAAGCACACATGGTACATACTCCAGAATAGATTATATGTGCGGCCACCAAACAAATGTTAACAAATTTGAAGATTTAAGTAATATCAAATGTACTTTTCTACCACAGTGGTATAAAACTCAAATTCAATAAAAGGAAGAATTTTGAAAAAATACAAACATGTAAAAAGCACACTACTGAATAACCAGTGGGTCCAAGAAGATATCAGAGATGCAAAGATGTTTCAATGTATACAAATCGGTAAACATAGTACACCACATTAGCAGAATGGGGAATTTAAAAATTATACCATCACTCCATAGATGCAAAAAAAGCATTTGACAAAATTTTGTATCCTTTCACCATACAAAAACCTCTCAACAAATGATATATACAAGCAATTTACCTCAACATACTGAAGAACATACATGACAAACCTATAGCTAACATTATACTTAATGGTGAAAAGATGAAAGTTTTTCCTCTAACATCAGCAACAAAGCAAGAATGTCCGATCTCACTATTTGTATTAACATAGTACTAGAAGTCCTAGGTAGAGCAATTAGGCAAGATACTGTAGGCAGTATCTACACGGCAAAGAAATAAGTTAAATTGTCTTTGTTTATAAATGATATGATTATATTTCTAGGAAACCCTGAATACTTCCCCCAAAACCTGTTAAAGCTAATAAATGACTTCAGTAAAGTTGCAGGATGCAAAATTAGTATAAAAAGCAGTTGCCTTTCTATACGCTAACAAGTTATCCAAAAATTATATTAAGAAAACAATTCCATTTATAATAGCATCAAACATAATAAGATACTTAGGAATAAGTTTAACCAAGGAGTTATATTTTGAAAAATTTTAAAAGATACAAATAAGTGGAAAGATGTTCTGTGTTTATAGCTTGGAAGAATTAATCTTGTTAAAATTGTTATACTACCCAAAGCAATCTTCAGATTCAGTGCAATCCTTATCAAAATACTAAAGTCATTTTTTTCATAGAAATAGAAAAAAATCCTAAAATGTATACAGAACCACAAAAGATATTGAGTAGACAAAATAATCTCGAGTAAGAACAAAAAACTGGAGGCATTGCATTTCTGAATGTCAAATTATATTACAAACCTATATTTGTCAAAACAGCATGGTACCGACATATTCAGAAAGACAAATGGAGCAGAATAGAGCATCCAGAAATTAATCCATACATGTACGGTAAACCAAGCTTTGAAAAGGGTGCCAAGAATACATGATGGGGAAATGATAGTGTGTTGAATATATGATGTTGAGAAAGCTAGATGTCTGTATGCAAAAAGATGAAATTATATCCTTATATTACACACAAAAATTAACTCAACATGGATTGAAGACTTAAATGTAAGACCTGAAACCAAAATTCTTTAAGAAGAAAACATAAGGAGGAAAAAAAAAAACTCCTAGACATTGTTCTTGGGAATGATATTTTGGATATGACACCAACAGCACAGGCAACAAAAGTAAATGTAAACAAGTATGACTATATCAAACTAAAAAGTTACTGCACAGCAAAGGAAATAATCAACAAAATGAAAAGACAACCTGCAAAATGCAAGAAAATATTTGCAAACCGTCTGTGTGGTGAGGGCGAATATCCCAAACTATAAGAAACTTATAGAACTCAAATAACAAAAATAACCTGATTTAAAAATCAGCAAACAACAATTGATAGTTAATTCTATGTATCAACTTGATTGGAATAAGGGATGCCCAGACAGCTGAGAAAGCATCATTTCTGAGTGTGTCAATGAGGGTGTTTCTGGAGAGATTAGCATTTGGATCAGCAGACTGAGTAAAGAAAATCAGGAGAGGCCAAGACGGTCGGATAGGAACAGCTCCAGTCTTCATCTCCCAGTGAGATCAAAGAAGAAGGTGGGTGATTTCTGCATTTCCAACTGAGGCACCTAGTTCATCTCATTGGGATGGGTTAGGCAGTGGGTACAACCCATGTGGAGCAAGCAGAAGCAGGGTGGGGCATCGCTTCACCCAGGAAGTGCAAGGAGCTGAGGGTCCTCCCTCCCCAACCTAAGGGAAGCCCTGAGGGACTGTGCTACCCAGCTGGGTTACTACATTTTTTCCACAGTTTTTGCAGTCGCAGATCAGGAGATTCCTTTGTGTGCCTAGACCATCAGGCCCCTGGGTTTCAAGGACAAATCTGGGCAGCTGTTTGGGCAGACACCAAGCTAGCTGCAGGAGTTTTTTTCATACCCCAGCGGCTCCTGGAACCTCAGTGAGATAGAACCATTCACTCCCCTGGAAAGGGGGCTGAAGCCAGGGAGCCAAACGGTCTTGCTCAGTGGGTCCCACTCCCACAGAGCCCAGCAAGCTAAGAACTACTGGCTTGAAATTCTCACTGCCAGTGCAGCAGTCTAAAGTCAACCTGGGATGATTGAGCTTGGTGAGGGGAAAGGCGTCCACCATTACTGAGGCTTTAGTAGGCAGTTTTCCCCTGACAGTGCTAAGGAGGTGGGAAGTTTGGACTGGACAGAATTCACCACAGCACAGCAAAGCAGCTGTGGCCAGACTGCTTCTCTAGATTTCTCCTCACTGGGCAGGGCAATGCTGAAGGAAAGGCAGCAGCCCCAGTCAAGGGCTTACAGATAAAACTCTCAACTCCCTGGGACAGAACACCTGGGGGAAGGGGTGGCTATGGGTGCAGCTTCAGTGGATTTAATCTTTCCTGCCTGCCAGCTCTGAAGAGAACAATTGATCTTGACAAGGGGGACTGTCCCAGCACAGAGCACCAGCTCTAAGAGACAGACTGCCTCCTCAAGTGGGTCCCTGATCCCCATGCCTCCTGACTTGGAGAGACGTCCCAACAGGTATCAACAGACACCTCATACAGGAGAGCTCCAGCTGGCATCAGGTCAGTGCCCCTCTGGGAGAAAGCTTCCACAGGAAGAAGGCAGCAATCTTTGCTGTTCTGCAGCCTCCACTGGTGATACCTAGGCAAACAGGGTCTGGAGTGGACCTCCAGCAAACTGCAGCAGACCTGCAGAAGAGGGTCCTTACTGTTAGAAGAAACAGTAACAAACAGAAAGCAACAACATCAACATCAACAAAAGAGACCCTTACACAAAAACCCCTTCCAAAGCTCATCAGCCTCAAAGATCAAAGGTAGATAAATCCACAAAGATGAGGAAAAAACAGCGCAAAAACACTAAAAATTCCAAAAACCAGAATGCCTCTTCTCCTCTAAATGATTGCAACTCCTCTCCAGCAAGAGCACAAAACTGGACGGAGAACAAGATTGATGAATTGACCAAGTAGGCTTCAGAAGATAATAACAAACTCCTCTGAGCTAAAGGAACATGTTCTAACCCAATGCAAGGAACCTAAGAACCTTGATAAAAGGTACAGGAACTGATAACTAAAATAACCAGTTTAGAGAGGAAGATAAATGACCTGATGTAGCTGAAAAACACAGCAGGAGAACTTCACGTAGTATACACAAGTATCAATAGCTGAATCGATCAAGTGGAAGAAAGGATATCAGAGATTGAAGATCAAGCTACTGAAATAAGGCATGAAGACAAAATTGAGAAAAAAGAATGAGAAGGAATGAACAAAGCCTCCAAGAAATATAGAACTATGTGAAAAGACCAAACCTATGATTGACTGTTATACCTGAAAGCAACAGGTAGAATGGAACCAAGTTGGAAAACACACTTCAGGATATTATCCAGGAGAATTTCCCTAAACTAGCAAGACAGACCAACATTTAAATTCAGGAAATACAGAGAACACCACTAAGATACTCCTCCAGAAGAGCAACCCCAAAACACTTAATTGTCAGATTCTCCAAGGTTGAAACAAAGGAAAAAACATTAAGGGCAGCCAGAGAGAAAGGTCAGGTTACCTACAAAGGGAAGCCCATCAGACTAACAGAGGATCTCTCTACAGAAACCCTGCAAGCCAGAATAGAGTGGGGGCCAATATTCAACATTCTTAAAGAAAAGAATTTTCAGTCCAGAATTTAATATCCAGCCAAACTAAGCTTCATAAGCAAAGGAGAAATAAAATCCTTTCCAGACAAGCAAATGCTGAGGGATTTTGTCACCACCAGGCCTGCCTTACAAGAGCTCCTGAAGGAAGCACTAAATATGGAAAGGAAAAACTGATACCAGCCACTGCAAAAAAACTAAACAAAATATAAAGACCAATGACAATACAAAGAAACTGCATCAACTAATGTGCAAAATAACCAGCTAGCATCATTATGACAGGATCAAATGCACACATAACAATATTAACCTTAAATGTAAATGTGCTAAATGCCCCAATTAAAAGATGCAGACTGGCAAATTGGATAGAGTCAAGACCTACTGGTAGGCTGTATTCAGGAGACCCGTCTCATGTGCAAAGACACACATAGGCTCAAAATAAAGGGAGGGAGGAATGTTTACCAAGCAAATAGAAGGCAAAAAAAGGCAGGGGCTCCGTTCCTAGTCTCTGATAAAACAGACTTTAAACCAACAAAGGTCAAAAAAGACAAAAAAGGGCATTATATAATGGTAAAGGCATCAATGCAACAAGAGCTAACTATCTTAAATATACATGCACCCAATTCAGGAGCACCCAGATTCATAAAACAAGATCTCAGAGACCTACAAAGAGACTTAGACTCCCACACAATAATAGTGAGAGACTTTAACACCCCACTGTCAATATTAGATAAATGAGACAGAAAATTAACAAGGATATTCGGGACTTGAATTCAGCTCAGGACCAAGCAGACCTAATAGACATCTACAGAAGTCTCCACCCCAAATCAACAGAATATACATTCTTCTCAGCACCACATAGAACTTATTCTAAAATTAACCACATAAATGGAAGGAAAACACTCCTCAGCAAATGCAAAAAAATGAAAATCATAAACAATCTTTCAGACCACAGTGCAATCAAATTAGAACTCAGGATTAAGAAAACTGACTCAAAACTGCACAACTACATAGATATTGAACAACCTGCTCCTGAATGACTACTGGGTAAATAACAAAATGAAGGCAGAAATCAAGCAGTTCTTTGAAACCAATGAGAACAAAGAGACATTGTACCAGAATCACTGGGACACAGCTAAAGCAGTGTTAAGAGGCAAATTTATAGCACTAAATGCACACATCAGAAAGCTGGAAAGATCTGAAATTGACACCATAACTTCACAATAAAAAGAACTAGAGAAGCAAGAGCAAACAAATTCAAAAGCTAGCAGAAGACAAGAAATAACTAAGATCAGAGCAGAGCTGCAGGAGTTAGGGACACAAAAAACCCTTCAAAAAAATTAATGAATCCAGGAGCTCGTTTTTTGAAAAGATTAACAAAATAGACTGCTAGCTAGACTAATAAAGAAAAAAAGAAAGAATCAAATAGACACAATAAAAAATAACGGCGATATCACCTCTGATCCCACAGAAATACAAACTACCATCAGAGAATACTATAAACACCTCTATACAAGTAAACTAAAAACAAATCTAGAAGAAATGGATAAATTCCTGGACACATATACCCTCCCAAGACTAAACTGGGAAGAAGTCGAATCCCTGAATAGAACAATAACAAGTCCTGAAACTGAGGCAGTAATTAATAGCCTACCAACAAAAACAAAAGCCCAAGACCAGACGGAGTCACAGCCTAATTCTACCAGAGGTACAAAGAGCAGCTGGAACCATTTCTTCTGAAACTATTCCAAACAATAGAAAAAGAGGGACTCTTCCCTAACTCATTTTATGAGTCCAGCATCATCCTGATATCAAAACCTGGCAGAGACACACAAAAAAAGAGAATTAATTTCAGGCCAATATCCCTGATGAACATTGATGCAAAAATCCTCAATAAAATACTGGCAAACCGAATCCAGCAGCACATCAAAAAGCCTATCCACCACAATCAAGTCGGCTTCATCCCTGGGATGCAAGGCTGGTTCAACATATGCAAATCAATAAATGTAATCCATCACATAAGCAGAACAAATAACAAAACCACATGATTATCTCAATAGATGCAGAAAAGGCATTCGATAAAATTCAACACCCTTTCATGCTAAAAACTCTCAATAAACTCGATATTGATGGAACATATCTCAAATTAATAAGAGCTATTTACGACAAACCCACAGCCAATATCATACTGAATGGGCAAAAGATGGAAGCATTCCCTTTGAAATCTGGCACAAGACAAGGATGCCCTCTCTCACCACTCCTATTCATCATAGTATTGGAAGTTCTGGCCAGGGCAATCAGGCAAGAGAAAGAAATAAAGGGTATTCAAATAGGAAAATAGGAAGTCAAATTGTCTCTGGTTGCAAATGGCATGATTGTATATTTAGAAAACTCCATTATCTCAGCCCCAAAACTCCTTAAGCTAATAGGCAACTTCAGCAAAGTCTCAGGATACAAAATCAATGTGCAAAAATCACAAGCATTCCTATACACCAGTAATAGACAAGCAGAGAGCCAACTCATAAGCGAACTCTGATTCACAATTGCTACAAAGAGAATAAAATACCTGGGAATACGACTTACAAGGGACGTGATGGATCTCTTCAAGGAGAACTACAACCCACTGCTCAAATAAATAAGAGAGAACACAAACAAATGGAAAAACATTCCATGCTCGCGGATAGGAAGAATATCGTGAAAATGGCCATACTGCCCAAAGTAATTTATAGACTCAGTGCTATTCCCATCAAGCTACCACTGACTTTCTTCACAGAATTTGAAAAAAACTACCTTAAATTTCATATGGAAACAAAAAAGAGCCTGCATAGCCAAGATAATCCTGACCAAAAAGGACGAAGCTGGAGGCATCATGCTACCTGACTTCAAATTGAACTACAAGGCTACAGTACCCAAAACAGCATGGTACCAGTACCAAAACATATATAGACCAATGGAACAGAATAGAGACCTCAGAAATAACACCACACATCTACAACCATCTGATCTTTAGCAAACCTGACAAAAGCTAGCAATGGAGAAAAGATTCCCTATTTAATAAATGATGCTGGGAAAACTGGCTAGCCATATGCAGAAAACAGAAACTGGACCCCTTCCTTACACCTTGTACAAAAATTAACTCAAGATGGATTAAAGAGTTAAAGCTGAAACCCAAAACCATAAAAACCCAAGAAGAAAACCTAGGCAATACCATTCAGGACATACACATGGGCAAAAACTTCATGACTAAAACACCAAAGGCAATTGCAACAAAAGCCAAAATTGACAACTGGGATCTAATTAAACTAAAAAGCTTCTGCACAGCAAAAGAAACTATCATCAGCGTA